>NC_000003.12:114614664-114917695 GCF_000001405.40 Homo sapiens
CAAATAAAACATAAGTAGCATAATGACTGAAGAAAGTTAGATTGTAGTGTCCAATCTCATAGTGGCCACTTTTTTTGTTTGTTTGTTTGTTTGTTTGTTTGTTTTGAGACGGAGTCTTGCTCGGTCGCCCAGGCTGGAGTGTGCAGTGGTGTGATCTCAGCTCACTGCAACCTCCACCTCCCTCCCAGTTTCAAGCGATTCTCCTGCCTTAGCCTCCCGAGTAGCTGGGATTATAGGTGTGTGCCACCACATCCAGCTAATTTTTGTATTTTTAGTAGAGACGAGGTTTCATCATGTTGGCTAGGCTGGTCTTGAACTCCTGACCTCAGGTGATCTGCCTGCCTCGCCTCCCAAAGTGCCCAAAGTGCTTGGGATTACAGGCATGAGCCACCGCGCCCAGCCTGTAGTGCCCACTTTTGACAAAGTTGATTGTTCATGTGGGAGCATGAACATGAAAATTTAATTACAAACTAAGGAGAAACATACTTAACTTTGAATCTTTCCTATTGGTTTCCTGGAGTCAATTTTAAAGTATCACTTAATAAATACTATTTGACAATTTGCAAATTTATATAAATGTATTTTCCTTAGAGTATAAGCATTCAACTCCAATATGATGGTTTCCTATTTTCAGTTTGAGTAAATATCAAAATAGAATGTCCCTGTTAGATATCTAGGGAATCACTTTTAGGGGACACTATATAATGCCTTACTAAATACCAAGACTACAGTACTATTATTTTCACAAGTGAGCATGGGTCAAGGCAAAGAAGGGCAAGTTGGGGTAAGGATGTATAGGCTGTTAACCTTGCTGCACAGGTAAATGTAAAAGTTCCTTTTTTCTAGCCTCAACATGCTGGAAGATCCTGACTTTAAACTGAGTAGAGAATGTCTTAAAGCAAAGAAACAAGAACTCCTGTACTCTGAACTTTGTTGGGGAGTTCTGGCCCCTTTTATCATTTGATCGTCAATGAATAATATAACTGCGTTTAGCCCTTAAGCCTGTATCAGCTGCAAACGTGACAGATACCTGTCATATTTTAGAACAGCTTATCGCCTCAGCCTCTGGAGTGATTGAGTATTTATAGACACAAAGATAGAAACATAAAGCACATATGTATAGGCAGGAGTCCCCTGGAGGTGGCGATTAGGACTAGGCAGTAATTTTAGCTTGAAGTTCCTATGACTTAAATAGCCACTTGAGCTCTGCTCTTGCAGTTTACGATGTCAATAGAACCCCTAAATGAAATTACAGCCTTCTGATACGCAGCAGGATATCCTTTCTTTGCCATGCAATGTACACGGCCAGGAGAAATTGCTCTGTATATGGAGTTTCACTAAAGCAGAATTTATCATAAGGCTGCTCTGCTAAAATATCATTATGCTGTTATTCACTGGATAACACATCTAATGACTCGAGGTGCACTTGATAGCCATGTTTCAGTGAACACAGACGCATGCCCTGATGTGAACTGGGCACTCCAGTACTTCAAAGCACTATCGATTTCAATTCTACCATAATTTACACCTGGCTTGTTTTGCCAATAGCTTGAACCCATGCTAACACTGGAACATACACATACAAGCTTTAGAAAGATCAGAAATGAGGTGTATAGCAAAAATGAATGCAGCAAACTCTCCAGGATTTTGCCTTTATAATCATCTCCCTTGATGCCGATTAAATATTTTGCACGATTTTCCTAGTTAAGTTTGGGCATTCCCTCTGTTAGCATTATCCTTTGGTTGGTGATGATGGTAATAAGAACCTCTTATATTTGGACAAGCTATGGACACTTCTGCAGCAGGATCTGGGTGCCAGTCATCTTGGTTCTCCCACTATCTAGCACAATGACTGGCACATAATAGTTGCTCATGATAATCTCTGCAGGCTCCTCTTCCTCTCTCCATTCCAGAAATGCACTGTATATAAAGGACCTTCTCCCTTTTGTCATCTTTCAATATATTTTTCCTGAGAAATGTCCACTCCATAATTTTAACTATTACCATGATTTGGATGATTCAGATGACTGCCAAAGTCTGTCCCTGACATCTCCAGCATTCCTGACTAAATCCAACTGCCAGTCTGGATGCTCCCCTAACACCCCCAAATTAAACACCTTCAAAAGTAAATTTGTAATCTTCCCCCATCCTCCAAAATCTACTCTTCCTCCTCATAGCTTTTCTTGCTTAGTTGTATAAGGCAGAAACCTGGGAGCAATCCAAAATTCCTTCTCTCCATGCCCAGCCCAAAGGTTATTAAATTGTGTCAATTTTGCCTATCTCTTGAACATATCTCCTCCTCTCTGTCTATTCCCACAGTTATTGTCCTAGTTCAGGGCTTCATTGTTTCCTGTCTGAACAATTTCAGTTGCCTCCTAACTCATTTTCTTGCCTCTATTCTCCCACTCCTATAATCTATCCTCTACCCTGCTGACAGGGTGATCTTGTATCACACAATTTCATCATTAACCTTCTCTACTTAAAACCTTTCAATAGCTCCCTGAATGCCACAAGATGAAGTTAAAACTTCTTTGCATGGCAATCAGGGTCCAACATGATTGTTCCCTGCCTGCATCTACAGCATCGTTTCTCTGTACTCCCCTACTACACATAAGTGATAGTGTTCCCCAGCTCTGCCATGCTATTTCTAGTTAACTGCCTTTGCCCCTGCTGGCTCCCTTACTGAATGTTCTTCCTCCCTCTGACCATCTGGGAAAATCCTTCCATTCCCAGCACGGATTTATCAGCTCTTCTGTGAAACTTCCTCTGATCCCCCACTCCAAGATATGTTCAGCTGAACACTCACTGTGCCTCCATGGTTCCTTGAACATCCTTCAGTTACGGCACTTAGCATAATGGTATTACCCCAACTTGTTTCCCTATCTGCCTCTCCTCTAGTGAGCAACTTGAGACCATGTTGTATTCATCTTTGTATTGTAAATGACAAAGCCAATGCCTTCACAACAGCATATTAGGGCCCATGTGATCAGACACCCTTGTCTCCCTTACTTCATCTCCTACTAGTCTCATGCTTACCCACTCAGATTCTGCCACACAGACTTCCTTGTTGTCACTCAAACTTTCCAGATACATTCATGTCCAAGGCCTTTGCACTTGATGGTTCCACTGTTGAAAATGCTTTTGCTTAGATATCCACAAAACTTGCTTCTTCACTTTCATTGAGGTCTTTTCTCAAATGCTGTCCCCCAATGAAGACTTCCCTCTCTACCTCTCCACCCTATTTAAAATTGCAAACTTATCCCTGACACAAACACACATGTATACACTCTTTCTCCTCTTTAAATTTTCTCCATAGCACTTATCATAAAATGCCACATATTTTACATATATATATATATTTTATCTTCTGTCTCTCCTATCTAGAAAGTAACTACAAGGAGAACAAAGATTTCTGTTTTTTTTTTTCTAAATCTACTGCAGTATCCCCAACCCCTGGAATAGTGTTGGGTACATAATATGAATTCCTCAATAAATATTTATTAATAAATGAATCAATCTTTAGCTTCTTGAATAATAACTGACACAGAGTAGGGATTCAAAAATGTTTCTTTCCTTTTTTTTTTTTTTTTTGGTTTGTTTTTTGAGACACAGTCTTGCTCTGTTGCCCAGGTTGGAGTATAGTGGTGCAATCATAGCTCAATGCAAGCTCAAACTCCTGGGCTCAAGGGATAAGGGATCCTCCCATCTCAGCCTCCTCGGTAGCTGGGACTACAGGCATGTGCCATCATGCCTGGCTACTTTTTAAAAATTTTAGTAGAGATGAGATCTTGCTATGTTACCCAGACTGGTCTCAAACTCCTGGGCTCAAGGGATCCTCCTGCCTTGGCCTTTCAAACTGCTGGGATTATAGGTGTGAGCCACTGCATCTGGCCCAAAAATATTTCTTAAACTAAAAAATACATGGGTGAATGAATGAATTAATGTTAAATCCATCTTTAATGAATATAATGAAGAAACAGTCTGTGTACAGTACAGTCTGTGTACAGTAAGTTGAATGGGTTACTATTATCCTCATTAGACAAATGAAATAGATGAGTCCCAGAAAGGTTAGGAGCCAAAATTAAAGCTACTATACATAGCTTAAACAGGTTTGCTACTCTTTTTCAATTCACTATTGAAAGGAACAGACAATTCTTTGCACTTTGTTCATGATGTACCTCTGACATTTGTTATACAATTTTGCTTCCTCTTGACTAGGAATGCAATTAGCAGGAGGTGCAAGGTGCTAACACTTTTTATTACAATTTATGTCTTTCCATATTAGGTGTTTTTCATAAAAAAGATCCCCTTTCTTTAATTTTCACAAGTGGATTAGGCACTCATATAATTTTGCCCTTCGGAGTGGTTTGTACATGACTACCCAGGAGGACATTGTGTTACAAATCCTGCCAGAATGAACTGGAAGGTGAGTGCAGCATTCATAGCTTAAGGATGAACAGGTTGTTTGGTGCCAGGTTTGTACTAATGGAGATGTTCTCCATTAGTGTTAACTCCCAAAGGAGAATAAATTCAATAACAAAACATTTCAGTTTTTGGCATTTCTATGGAGAGTTAACTTTCCATTGTTCAAGGGTTAATTATCCATTATGTGAATCACTTTTCTTTCTGTGGCTGCTTACATCTAGGAATTCAGTTTACTAGAGAGTGAGCAGGGAAAATAAAGAGACGAAAAGGAATATTCTATATATATAAACTCCAGGAAAAAAATTGGTTTAGGGGACAGAATGAGATATAGTTTGGGGATTGCTAAGTTGATTGACAATTGAAAATGGGTAAGATTAAAGCATGTTTTATTATACACAATATTTTGGGTTTTTTTTTTAAATTGTTTATTAGGGTCAGTTTGTAGTACATGCAGTTACTCTCTGGATGTGATTCTTGTCAGCACAATACCATCTAGGGTGCTAGAATGGGCATTTAGCAAATGGTACTTTAGAGGCTAGCTCGACTTGGTGCCCCTCTCCTCTGAAGAAGGCTTAGTGTGCTGCAGCTTAATGAATGAAACAGCACTAAGTGATTCCACCTATTTCTCTACTCATTGATGAGAAACAACTGCAGTAGGCTATTTTCAGCTATTATTTACCTCAAACAGGGCATTTAATTAGTGCTTGTTAAGACAGTGCAAATGATTTGGCTGCCAGTCTTCTTGCCCCTGCTCTTTATTGTGCTGTATGTCTGCCCCGCCTCTCTCCTGTCTAGTTCACAGGGCATCCATAGCCAGTCTTCATGCCTTTCCATAACTGACATCAGCCTGACCTCCACGGATGTGGAAGTTTGAGGAAAGGAAGAACAAGTATTGACAAGCTGGAGGGACTGTTGGTTAATATGATGCATTATAGGTAAGTCTGGTACTTTCTGACTACATGAGCTGACCAAGCTGGATATTCGGTCACCCTCATAAGTCCAGGAAAATGAATGGAACTACTGCAAACTGAAGATCCCATGTTCCATCAGAAATTACCCAAGCATTGTGGGGAACCTTAGCAATCTTAGTAAATGGTTGGAAATGCTGTCAGATAGTTGGAAGATCTAATGTGGGAGTTAAGGAGGCTCAGATATAGAAGACTCTGCCAATTTGTGTTCTAGACATGGACATGTTTTTTTCTTTTCTTTTCTTTTTTTTTGAGATGGAGTTTTGCTCTTGTTGCACAGGCTGGAGTGCAATGGCACGACTTTGGCTCACTGCAATCTCCACCTCCTAGGTTCTAGCGATTCTCCTGCCTCAGCCTCCCGAGCAGCTAGGATTACACGCATGCGCCACCATGCCCGGCTAATGTTGTATTTTTAGTAGAGAGGGGGTTTCTTCATGTTTATCAGGCTGGTCTCGAACTCCTGACCTCAGGTGATCCGCCCGCCTCGGCCTCCCAAAGTGCTGGGATTACAGGCATGAGCCACTGTGTCCGGCTGTTTCTTTCACTATGATAAGCAAGATGTATTCACTGTCAATGCACTGACATGTAGATATCCATTCATTCATCACCTATTCATTGATCCTCCACTCAGACTGAGCCAATCTGACACTGGTTGGGAGAGAAATTAACAAACCTAAAACACAAAACCTGCCCTCTAACCACTTGCAGTTTCATATATAGAAAAAACTTCAACTTAAAAGCATATATAAATGCTAAATGAAGGTAGATTTGTAAAATGCTACCAGTGTCAGATCACTTTTAATTTGGGTTTTATGGAAAACTTCAGAGAAAAAGTGTGACTTGTCAAGGATATGATTTGGCTGATCTTGAAAAGTTATCAGAAAAATTATGGTTGCTGATGCTAATATGTAAATACAGCATCAAAATATTTAACATATAGTAAAATAGCTGAGAAACTAAAATGGGATCATCTGTATATGTACTCAGCCTTATAAAATAAAATGAATTCATTAAACATATGCTCAATTTTAAGATATCAATTAATTTCTTTCTACTTAATTTTAAACTTTTATATATATAGCAATTAATATTTTGAAGCTGTACATAATAGAATTTAGGTTGATAAGCTAATATGTATATTTGCTGAAGGATAATTACCAAACTTATCAGCTAACTACATCTTTCTTTTTGCAAATACTGTTCATAAATATTTGTGTAAACTTTCGGTGTTGTCAGTGTGATAAAAAGTCAGCTACATTTCATTTATGGTCATTATGACCAAAACATTTGACTGAAATCAAAGGCAAGTAAGCCTGGCTAGAATTTGGTCATATTTTTAATAGCTGAATATAGATATATGGTTGTGCGTATATGTAGGCATTTATAAGCTAACATACATATACAATCATATGATACAAGCAATCAACTCCTTTTTAAGTTTTTAAAATATATGTCTTTCTTAGGGGAATCACATAAATACTAAAAACCACTTCTATATAAATAAGAAAGAACAATTTCTTATTGGGGTAACAACAATTCTGTTATTTAGCAATTTGATTTGTGTATATCTGCGACTGCCTAATTAAATGAATATAGCATATAGGAAGTACTTACAGCTAAAATATGCACGCAAGAAAATACACATTTCACAACATGCATCCTCATTAATTTAATGAAATTAGAATTTCCAGGTGAGCACTAGGAAATTGAGTTATTGACAGTGCATTGTGAAGGCTTATGATCAAGGTATTGAAAAAATAAGTAATATTAATATAGCCATTGAAGCACAAAAAATACATCGTCTTGCCTTTGTATCAGAGGTACACTAATCAAATTCTGACTTCTTATATATTTCAATTTAGTCATGAAATTCTTCCACGACCACTTGGAACTCCAAGCCTTAGCAACTATAAGAAAAATCTCTCTGGCAGATTATATTTTTTTAAATGTCATGTCTTGGGAATACTCTTAAATATTTGTTTTCACCTATTCTCTTCTTAAAGTTGCTTATATAATTTCATATGTAGTCATTAATAACATGTTTTCAAAGTGTTAGAGATCTAGCTTGCCTTCAACGCAGTTCTAATAGACATCCCTACCAGAAACTATGAGACAGTTTTCCTGGGAGTCTGGGCAGTTTGAATATTAACTGAGGAATGTTAACCTCCTATGTAGGTCTTGGTGGTAATGGCCTAAGAGCTAGTTACATTTTTTATAACGTATTGTAAACACCATTTCCCTTTCAACTTTTTTTCTTTAGAAAACAAGATAACTAATGAAAATTACCCAAGAAATATTATACATATAAATAGTATAGTCCTAACACGAGCTAACTACAATAGGCAAACTTTACTATTAATATAACATTAAACTTTTACCATACTAGCCCTAATAAAACTCTGAGACTATTTTCTATCACAATGACAGCTGATGAATTTAATGTGCCTCACAAACTATAGGAATTGTGATAGGAAGCTGACTCTGTCCTAGAGGCCACTGACAAACCTGATAAGGCTGTAGCAGGGGTCAGTCTCTATAGGAAACTTGGGCTATATGAGCATGTATGAGTTCTGTGGTTAAGAATCTGAAGCACTCAGTATAGCAAACAAAATTCCAAAGCTGAGTACCAATGTAATACGCTGGATCGCTGTACCTACTTGGACAAGAGTACATGCAACAGGCACATACAATATACATCTGGTTAAATGTAAAATCATCCATTGCTAAAGCATTTTAAACTTCTAGGAGAAATCTACTGGCAATGTGTTAACAGCAAGGACAACCAAAACAATAAAATAACATCTCTTTCCTAAAATTTAAGAACATCAAGTAAGTGCCCCTTAGGCTGGGTTGTGATTCCTGGAAGTTTCAGCCTATGAGAACCATATTGGCGACATCAAAGACTCCCCCTCTTTCCAAAAAGCAATTCACTTCAGATGCTGCCACACAATCGAATGCTTTTATGGCCACCATGTTTTTTTGGTTTTTGTTTCGTCTTTTGTTTTTTCCATGCTTAATGAACATGCCAGATTCTTGAAATAGAAAGAAGATGAGAAAACCCAGTAAGATGGAATACCTCTAGAAAAGAAACTAGGCAGGGACCTGATGGTAAAGGATAAAAACACATTCCAACAGGAATTCTACTTTTAGGGAGAGTATGAGTTATTAAGAAGGATGTGGAAGGCACATTTTGGCTATGAAAGCTGGTCCGTGGACTCCTCTGCCAGTCTCACATCAGACAGGATGCAACCATCCCCACTCCATTCCTTCGACAACTTCCCAGAGCACATTCAATCAGTGTCCCTTAAATTGAGGACAATACTATATTTGGGTTTAATACTGTGAGGACAGTCATTTAGTTTTCCTGTGGCAGGATGATAAATTTCCTGGGAACCAAATAAGGATTCTCATTGCATTCTTCTGCTTGATACTATGAATGCAGAAGAATAAAGAAGAGGGTGTGACAAATCATATTTTCCAAAGGTCGGGTGTGGGGAGGTTCCCTAACGTTTAAAAGCAACCAGTTGTTAGCAAAGTGATCTTTAGAACAGTATTAGCAAGAATGTTTGCTCTACATCCACTATAGATATTCTCTCCTGCTTAGCTAGGCATGTAAGTACTGTGAGCATAATGTAAATACTCAGAACAGAAATGCATGGAAAGCTGGTGGAGTGAAACTCCAAATGAACAATTAATTCCACTTTCACTTCCCCCATCTACCTCCCTGAATACTACCTCCCTGCCCCCACTCACCTATCTTCCTCCCCCCAACAAGCATGTTTGCTAGGCATGTCAAGGCTGACATCCATCGGTGGCAGTATGAAACCTATGCCTACAGGCTGCTCCTGAGCATAGCCTCAAGGCTCTGCCATTGTCCGTAGAGTGCTCTAAGTTGTGCCCGCTAAAAATCTTCATCATTCCATTTGACTGTTTGGTAGTATTTCTTTAATTGTATTTTTTGTTTGTTTGTTTTAAAAACACCCTTTATTTCCTGCTTGCCTTAGAGACACCAAGAATAAAATCCTTGACACATCAAATTCTGGAACCTCACCACTCACCAGGACTATGGTTCCTGATCCAAGGAGTGACGACTGAGAATCAGCACACAGTCTCTTGAGGGTGTCCAGGCCTGGCTGTTAAGCTCCCTGCTCTGATTAGTTTGTCGAGTTCACAGTGTTCCAGAGTGCTGAAGCACAGAAATTAGGGAGGGGAGGTGGAAGGAAAATCACTGGAGCCTCTTACGATCTAACTTCCACTAACTGGGAGGAAATGTCTTATAAATAAACAACAGTAAGAGAAACAAAAAAAAAAAAAACCCATCCCGTCCTGCCAGAGGAATGTACATTATTGTCTCCCGACGGAAAACTTTACACCACACCAGAATGCAGCCATGTCTCCTGAAACTACCTCCCTCAAAACAGAAAGAAAAAGAGAATCAAAAAGGAAAGGAGAACAAAACAGAACAAAAAAGATTTCATCCCCTTGAATTCTGTTGGGAAGTTCATGTGAGTTCCCAGTAGACAAACTAAACTAAGCAATTTCAACAGTGTCACTGTTCCAGAATTTTGTGCAGAGGCTGCTTATTAGCCAAATTTCATTTCTGCCCAGATCACTGCTGTACCATCCAGACATTTTCAGAAGGGAAGTTCAGGGAAGGGGGGAAGGGTACGACTGTGGAGAAGAGGAAGAAGAGAGGACAAAGGAAAACTCCTGATGAACCAGAATGCCCTAGCCACGGCCATGATAGAGCGAGCCCCCACCCACCACCCGACTACTGCTTGTTGAGGACTTGGTGATGCGGTGTGTTTTATCTACTTACTCTTTCTGCTCGGGAGGCTGAGGTTCCTACATTTCCAGCTCATGCTGGACTGTACCGTAAGCAACAAGTGAAATGAGTTCAGTGATCTCATTCTAGTCCTTCGACTCCTGTCCACATCACTAAGCGACTGCACAGCTTGGCACAGGCCAGGATGAGTCAGCAGTCTCTGGTCATGAGAGGCCAGGCCTGGAATAGCAGGGGGGTTTAGGTCAGGAGCAAAATGAAGCAGAAAGGCAGTCTAGATGGCAGGGCTCTGTTCTGCAATACACAGAAATACTGCAGGTCAAAATGAAAGCGCCTCATCAGCTCTGGGGTGAAGATTGTAGGACTGTAAAAAAAGAAGCATCAAGAGAAAAAAAAAAGCTGCCTACCAAACATAGCAAGGACAAAACAGAGTACCACAGTCAGAAAAAGAGGGCACTGGTAGAGCCCTGGAGGATAAAAGATGCTCATTAAGGTTTCTGAAATGTCTTTTCTTCCACATGCTCCCAAACTTGAATTAAGAAATGGTGACTTCCTATATACTATCCTAGTATTTTGGTACTGTTTTCCCAATTCAGTAAGTAGCAAAACAAATAAAATGCAAGGCACTGCAGTTAAATAGCAAGAAAAGCCTCATATTTCATAAAATAATATGAGTCTGATATCTCAAAGGTGTACATTTGGGTTAATAGTGTCTGTATATAGCCTGTATGAAATGGTTAAAGAGGAGTACTCTTTAAGTTGAGCTTGGGTGGGGGTAGAGAAGAGCTTAGAGAAAAGAGAGTTACCAGTTAATGATAAAACATAGGGGAACTATGACACTGTGACCATATTTCTACTCAATGGGGCCAACATAGACCTCCATTAGACCTCCATCAAGAAGTGATGCTCCCACTAACAGGACTTCAAACACTTCTCCCTCTGCAGTAGTACTGTAATATAGCAAGGGGAGAGGGAAAATAAAATAGATAGAAAAACAAGGTTCAACATAAAAAAAATTAGTGATAGACATTTTGTTTCAGAGGAGGCAAATTGCTCTATAAGTCAACTGATAAAAAAAAGTCTTGGTATCTGAACAGACTTAGAGAAACCATATCTAGATGAAGATGCCAGGTGGAGACTGATAACTATCAGGAAATGGTAGTAATGGCCATAAAGAAGGAAGAAAGCAATCTCAAGTCACATGATGTAGAATAAAACAGCATGGAAAACAGAAGGAGAGCAACAGACTTCGGGAACACGAGTAAAATATTTCTTTAAAGTCCTTTTAAGAGGAGTAATGAGGACCCACCACATATTCCTAAATGTTGTCCCTCAGAGATGCACAGATGTATATGGGTAAGGAAATGTAAAATAAACTTTCAGCTTTCATTTCAGAGGGTATTAAGTCATCTGAACACATATTTACTAACTGTTTAATCTTGGGCAAATGAGCTTTCTAGCCTCAGTTTCTCTCTCTTTGAAATGGAAATAATATTATCATCCTCATGGAATCATTGTAAGCACTGAATCAATGTTCATTAACCCTTATCTCAGCAGTACCTGTCACATGGTGAACATTCAGTAAATTGCTTATTATTCATATTATTTGATTATCATATCATATCATCTTTATAAGTATCCAGTGAAAGAATCCCCCTCCAGTGTTGTTCCACTGGATTGAGAGGAATCAATATGAAGACTCTAGTAAAATCAGTTGAGTAACACTGCTTACACTGCTGCTTTAAAAAGATTATTTCTGTCTGGGTATGTTAAACATTATACTTGAAGACACAGGATGTTGAAAATCTATTATGTGAAATCCTTGAATTTGGGTATCTATGTTGTCAAAGCAACTTGGAGCCTAACAGTTGTCCAGTAACTAGAGGCCCAAAAAAGAAAAGAGGAATTTTTAGAAGCTTCTCCAAAAGCAACAGGATAAAAGTGTTATTGGCCTTAACCGCATGATGAGGGCTTTTTACCAAAGGGGAAAACGTAGTCCAGTTGATCATCGCAGCCTAATTGATTAATTGTGGGTCTGACCATCTGGCTGATGAATGCTGACACCCAGCAGTGATTACTGTGTAACACAATTCCGGATGTGCTCTCCCTGATGCCTCCCACAATAATGGCAACTCTGAACTTAAGGTTAGTTTATTCAGGCCTCTTGGCTCAATCTCTTCATGGAATAGTGGTTGTGGCAGGGAATATTTTACTAGACCTGGTCAAGCATTATCTTCTCTTATTTCAGTTACCCACTCTTTTCCAACTCTACTCCTACCCACTCCTAAGCCCTCTCTTGTATATAATCACTTTTCATGCAAAGCATTCCATCTGTAGTTTTCATCATATTATCTGATTCTCTCATTTCTGGTTGCTCTGTTCTGAAAAATATTTGACTAAACTAGGAGATCTATACTGCTAGAATGCCATTTCACAGGGGATCCTATTGGGACATGTTTATTGTATCTTATTTGCTACTGGTTTACTTCAAATTACTCTGCGCTTCCAAATAAAGAAAATTATTTTACCTAATTCATTAGCCTGATTAAAAGTCCCACATATGGCCCAAGTTTTCCATGAGATTATCAGAATACAAGGGTTAATAGACGATAATTCTTACATCTTAAGCCTACTTCTGACCCTCAGTTAGGAGTATCCCATGAAGAAGATTCCCCTGGAGCATACTTTACTGTTAGAGAAGGAAAGTCAGACCCATGTAAATGACAAGGTTCAATAGCAATGCCATCCACAAACCAATCTACACCTGGAGATGACTTGTACATGGAGAATTCACCAAGCAAATAAAACCTGTACATATAAATATAAACCCTGGGGAATTATAACAAAATAATTCCATTGTATTTTGTAGGAATGCACAGGGGAGTAACTGACACAAAATATCTTATACAACCTTGACCAACAAGTCACAATGACAAATCATCCGTTTCCTCTTTTCTTTTCCCAGATTGATTTCCAGCTCTAAATTCATCTTTTCTTTCACTCCCCACAGATGCTGAATTCTTCTATGTTCCAGGCTGAGTTAGTGTTAATTTTCAGTAGAGGACGGCAGTAGCATGCTGAACTGTAGAGTTCCGGGCTGGGAGTTGGGAAATGTTTTTGGCCTGACTGTCAGTAAACAACTATGTGTCTTGGGCAAGTCAAGTCCCTTAACTCCCCATGTCTCAGTCTCTTCATTGAAAAATGATAGGGTAGGACTGCATAAACTCCATAGTCTCTGCCAACACTAAGATTCTATGGTTCTATAGCTCATTTCCTTTTTTTTCTCCCTTTGGCATCAACTGCTCAACAACTCCGCTCATAGTAATCTCTATGCTCTCAGTTACTAATGGAAAAATATGTCCTTCATTTACTAGTTGGTATTTTGTATTTGTAATCTCTCTCTTTTTTTATTTGATGCTAGATATTTTGAGTCATAAACACCAACATATCCAAATAGATGCTTTAAATTTGAAGGCGTTTAAGGAAAATAGCTTTCCCATGTAGAATATTTAGTGTAGCAGGGCATGGAGGAAGCCAGCCATCCAAAAGTGGAGCAAAGGGGCCAATTCACAAATGAGAGAAAGCCTTTCATAATAAGAGTCTCCACACTCTTTAACTTAGATAAAGCTAAAATGCTACCAACTTCTAACTACTTTTCCAATCAATCCCAGACACCATCACAGACACTTAGGACTACAAATCTGAGGACCAGCACTGGCAGCAATGCAGTTCTTATTTCACCTCCACCACCCATTGCCAAGCAGGATTTAGGATGGCATACTAATAAGAGCCAAGAGGACGATCTGTCATTTATTTTCCTCCAAACTTTTTGAAATTTCCCATTTGGGCTCTGTTTCCCAGTTTTAATTTGGTAACTGCCATTTTTCAGCATTTCTTTTAACAGGTTACTAATAATTTCTGATACAGGATCTCATATTTCATTTTATGCTGCTAGAGCTGCTGTTAATATTTCATCTGCCTTCAATTCAGCTCTGAATAAAGGCTGCTAGGTTTTGATAGACTGTTAACACTTTGGTTCTGGGGATTTGATCACTATGTTCATCCAGTTTGTCCATATTTTGTTAAAAAAAAAGTAATAGGTTAGCTATCTCAGAAATATCTCAGGGTGTGCTATACATTCTAGGGATACTTCAGAGTTTCTTTTTCTGGATCTTTGATGAAAACCAACAAAAACAAGTATCCTGGGTTTGTTTTCACAAATGACTTGCCATTTGCTTCAGTGTCAGTATTCTGGAAGCAGTGGGCAGTGGTTAAGATTCAGGGCTCATAGGCAGATCTAGATTCAAATTTTGGCTCTGAAATTTATTATATATATCACCTCAGGCCAGTTCCTTAACCTTGCCAAGTCTTTCTTTTCCCATTTGTAAAATAGGGATGATAATAATATCCACTTCTATTAATTAATATGAGGATCCAATAAATTAATATAAAGTGCTGAGGATTTTCTCAGTTCTCAATAAATGATGGCTATCATTATCCTAGCATTAATAATCTACAAATTCACATTATAGAATTATTATTTTGCAACATCTTTTCAGGGTCAACAAATTATTTTTTAGTACAGCCTTTGTTGTTTGCTTCACTATAGCTTACATTTTTAAAAAGTCTCAGTAAAATCATGTAAAATATTTAAAAATTTGATATTTAAACTGTATGTACAGTTAGACTAATATATAGCACCATATTATTATTATTGTAGCACTTTTCAGTGCAGCAGCAAATTCTCAAAAGTTTTTGTCCATCTAATAGCCAGCCCTAGATAAGGCACATTGTACCAATACTAATCTGTTCTATAAAAAGATGACTTATCATATTTATCTTCTCCTACTCCCAAAGAATATAGATTATTTTAATATTCTTTGGGTATGTGTCAGTCAGGCCCTGTTTGGATACAGAGACCATATAGCAATTTGAATAGAAAGTTAGTTTAAATTATTAATAATAACGGGATTAAAGTAATAAGAGTAGCTAGTAAGAAGTAAAGAATACTTTAAAGAATATAAGAATAACATGGGCCAGGCGCAGGGGCTCATGCCTGTAATCCCAGCACTTAGGGCCGAGGTGGGTCTTCAGCCTAGGAGCTGAAGACTAGTTTGGGCAAAATGGTGAAATGCCGTTTCTACAAAATATTAGTCGAGCATGATGGTGTGTGCCTGCAGTCCCAGCTACTTGTGGGGCTGAGGTGAGAGGATCGCTTGATTCCAGGAGGTTGAGGCTGCAGTGAGCTGTGTTCATGCCACTGCATTCAACCCTGGGTGACAAAGCGAGACCTTGTCTTAAAAAATAAAAAAGAATAGAAGAATAACAAATGTAAGGAACAGCCATTATTTGCAGGGCTAAGATAGCATATCCAAGGAAGAGTCTCCTCCATCCCTGGACTGAGATCTAGACATTGTAGGACTCAAGACAAAAATCTCCTGGACCCCTGGACCAGGATCCAGACCTTGTTGGACAACACACAGCCATAACTCATTGGATGGCAGAGAAGTTGCTGGGGAGCTGCATCAGTAGCACCTGCACTCTAGGGTGCTAATGAAAGCTATTTACAGGGATGTATCTCATCTGAGGCACTCTGCTATAAATTGCCCAATGTGTGTGTACACATGTGTGTGTACGTGTGTGTGTATGGTGGGTGCTAGGGGTAGCTGCTACCTGCCACGTACTGGAGAAGCTACCTGTGCTTCAGCTGCTGGGTACCAGGTTAGCTGCATTTGCTGCAGGAGCTACATGCTGTAAAGGTTGCTTATGTTGTAGAAGCCAGGCTCTGGAGAAACCGTGCACATTGCAGGAGGCTGCCAAAGTAGTGCATGACAACCAGGAAGGAAAATTTCTTCTTTCTGCAACGTCTCCCTACCTTCTCTACTGACAAAGCACCCTCAAACCAGCTAGCAAAGAAAAAATATTTAAAGAATCCAGATACATTTTTGCAGAGCAGGCAAGGAGAACTACATTTGGAAGGAGGCAATGGGAGGTAATACATTGGTAACTGGCACAGATATTATTATTTGCTCACACACTTCATGAAATAACTCACATTAGAGATTATAATCCAGTATTTTCAACTGATTGCACTACTGTTCACATTTACTAATAAACCAACTCCCTTTGCATAGTTAAGCAAATACTGTCAGAATTAAGAAAAATAAGAGGCCAGTAGATAAATACCTATAATAGAATATTTTAAAGTGACAGTACTAGTATATGTACATAACCTTTTCCCCCAAGTGCTGCCCACATACATTTTAATTACATGTTTATAATTTACTTAAGAAAAAAATATACAGAAGTACTAAGCTATTGACCTAAATGTATGCATCAGTGATCTCACACCAGAATCTCAACTAAGTGGGTATTCAGAAGAGTCATTACAAACAACCAAAAGCTTTGAGAGAGGTAAAAATTGCCTCGATTATCATTTTTCCTTTCTCTTTCCTTTTCTTTTTAATTAACTCTAGAACTCATATTTGCTTCTTCTATGACATTTTTGTGGAGGGGTGGGGTGGCTCTTAAATAGGTTATTCTTTTTTTTTTTTTTTTTTTTTTTTTTTTGAGATGGCGTCTTGCTCTGTTGCCCAGGCTGGAGTGCAGTGGTGCAATCTTGGCTCACTGCAACCTCTGCCTTCCGGGTTCAAGCAATTCTCCTGCCTCAGCCTCTTGAGTAGCTGGGATTACAGACATGTGCCACCACACCCAGCTAATTTTTGTATTTTTAGTAGAGACAGGGTTTCACCATATTGGTCAGGCTGGTCTTGAACTCCTGACCTCGTGATCCGCCTGCCTCGGCCTCCCAAAGTGCTGGGATTACAGGCATGAGCCACGTGCCCAGCAAAATATAGGTTACTGTTTTTCAGAAAAATACATATTTAGAAATTTTTTCTTATGATTCTGGTCCTATATTGTTCTACTCTTAATATTAAATAGAGAAGCATCAATAAATGACCAATTTGGTAAACTATGATACTGTGATCATTGTTAGAACTAGTTTTACATATGGGGAGAGAGTATATTCCAAAATACCTCCCCTACTTTTGCCTAATTCCCTTAAGAAGGGAACAGGTGCTTTTGCTGTATAATTACAGGTAGAGTTTAAAACCACAAACACCTGACATTAGCAAGGAGCGTGGTTGTGAGAGGCTGAGAGCAGAAAAGCTAATTGGGTGAGGAGAGTCCTGTAGAGAGTAGACTATACTGAGGTCAGGACCACAGAACATCTTTCTCACCATTCATCCGTTTTTACCTATGTCTGGCCATCAGCACTATCTGTTCTCACTATTATGGAAGGGGTCTACTTGTTACCTCACAGTTGTGTTTTCTTAAAGCCAGTGGTATCCAGCAAAGCAAGCCATGTTGGGTTGTCTCACAATCACACTGTAGGCATCTCTGCCAGCTGCAGGTGGTTATCCTTATGATTTCCTTTTGTTTGTGCTATGCGTGAGTACTGAGGATAAATTTAATGACCCTATGTTTAGTTCTCTCCTCCAACACACATGCACACCCCCCTCTCCCCTGCAATTCCTGAGTTCAAAAAGAGATGAAGACAAAGGAATGTCATAAGTCCGTGTGATTCAGGCAGGCAAGTCCATTTTATTTTAGTTTGCCCTTCTGTTCTGCTGGCTTTTCTGCTATGACCCACTATACTTAACCTGTCGGCTGTTCTTAGTAGCAACATGCCTTTTTAATCAGCCTTCCTGGGGTCTGCATTTGATTACAGCATTTGTGTTCTATTTTGATTCTTTTGTACTGTGCCCTGTGGTGTTCGCTTGAAAGGTGTTATTTATAAAATGAAATTCTATTGTATTGCCACTTGGATTCAAAGAGGACATATAATATTAATGCAGAATGTATTTAATAATATCTTCAATCTATTAAATCAATTTCTTCATGAGAATACAGAATGGAAGGGAGGCACATGGGCTGATAATCAGGTAATAAGACTTAAGAATCACCTGAACTTTTCCTTCACAAGCTTTCCTGAAAGCTGGCACAAGAATCATTCTCTTAATGTCAGGGTTTCCAAGTGGAGGAGACTACCTTTCTTCAGCCAGACCAGTGCAGTGCGCACCTGTTTAAACATTCAACTGTGCAGGCCAAACATTTTCCTAGGCTTTTAGATGCAAATTTTTTGACTAAGGAAACTATGAGACCAAACATGAATATGACTTTTTTACTACATAGAAAGAATTAGGTTATGAAGGAAATGTAATCACCTATTTCTAAGGATCTACTTTCAAGATTTGTAAAAAGAAGTATATTTGTTCTCACACTGACTCTTCTCAAAAGCAGGATAGGAAAATTCTAGTGATACCAAGAACTGATGCAAAGTTTCCAAGGTGGCATGTTCAGAATGATGTTCTCACCTAGCAAAAGGGCAGGTTTCATTGTGGGCTGCTGGGCCTACAGTCAAATGTTTCTAGATTAGATTGATGGAGGAGTCCCCAAGTTTTTTCAACTTCTAATTTTAATTCCAGCTAAAGACTGAAACATTGTACACTGTATCACAGCTTGCACAGCACATTTCTTGCTGCATACATTCTATTCTTTCACTACAATTTTTTTTTCCTGTTGATCTATCTGAAATCATCAATGGCTATGCTGCTGTTTGGATAGGGAATAAGAAAGAATTTGGTTTGAAAGATGATTTAGGAATCAGGCTCTGCAGAACTTACTAAAAGAAACTGTAACATACAAAGGAACCTGGCTGGGCAGTCTTGAAATGAGAGTTCCTGGATTTTTACCTGTTCTCATTCAGTGGCATATTATATAACTCCAGAAAAATCAGGGTCCAGTTTTCTAATCACTAAAAGGGGAATAACTGTCCTTTTCTACTTGCACTGGGCTACTTTAGGGATGGATAAGAAAATGATTCCAGAATCTTGTAAATGCTTTGCAATGAAGAGGAAATACAAATGCACAATATTATTAAAATGATAGTTTAGGCCACATTTTTGTTTCTCCAAATCTAGAGATGAAAAATAGTAACAAAGGAATAAATTTCTTCCACTTCAAAAATAAATAATATACCCTTATTTATAAATGACATGTCAAACATAAGGAACTAGGATGTGTTGGGGAATACACATCTCAGTTTTGAAGGCATCAAATTATAAGCTATTTGCATGAAGGAATCACATTCATCTCTGTATCCACCCAAGTTCTACCTCATTGATTTACATTATGTAAGTATTCCATTCGTTAACATATGTTGAATTGAAATGACAAATGAGATCGCACAATTTTAGAGCTCGAATTAACTAGAGACCATGTTAAATCCTGTTGCCTCATTTTGCAGATGATACAACTGAGGCCCAGATAAGTAACTTAACTAAGTCCAATACTAAAAATATTACAAGTTTTAGAAGAGTTATTTTAAAGATCTGCCACTGAAAATATATCACTGAATTAAAACAAAATAGACATTCTTCTGTCAAAATAAGAAGCACTATTCAGCTCAAATAATCCGATGTATCCTAACCTAATCAAGAAGGCTGAAGCCTAAAGTAACAAGTAAACATAATTAAATAGCTATAGACCCATAGGCATGTTAGAAATGCCAAGTTACTGAGGGGTGCATATCTTAATACTTTGTCTATCAGCCAGTCCAAATGGCATATTTTTTTCAAGTAAAATTAATGTCTTAACAAATAATAGGGGTGAAGTCAGCAAGATGGCAGAGTGGAAAACTCTACCTCTCATTCTTCCACAGAAATACTGATAAAACAATGTTGGAACCAAAATACCTTGCAAATATATTCAGATTGTAGCTAAGAAATAGAGGCACCCTAGAGGATCCCAAACTAAAAGCAGTTGCATTTGCATGGGTAAAAAGTGCAATTTCATGTTAGAATGTCATATCAGTACTTCCCCCAGACTGGCTTAGCTCAACACTGAGAGGACTGCTTCAGCTCATGATTTCTCCTGTGCCACAGAAAGTGAGATTGGAGTGTGTATCTGGCTTCCTGGCCTCTGGCCTCTCAGAGAACCCTCTGTTGGGTCAGTTCCTATATTGCCTCATACTGTGTACTGACGCACCTGTAGAACTTCGTTCCCAGGGATGCGTAGGAGCAAAGAAATGAGGAGGGCAACTCCTTACAGTTAGAGCTGCCTTGCAAGATTAGGAATGGGGCAGAACTGAGGTTATTCTTAGATGAGGGAGGAAAGGGAATGAAGGGGGCCTTATTCTCAGCATTTCAGAGTTCCCTCTGTGAAGCCAGTTTCCATTTCACCTTGTACTGAGCCTTGTGCGACCATTAGAACTTGGTTCTGAGGGATAGTTAGCAAAAACTAAAAGGAGCAGGCATCCCTTTGCAGCTGGCACTGCTCTGTATAATAAGAAAAAAACATAGAACCGAGCCTTTTCCTTGAGAAGGCAAGGAAAGAAGTGTAAAGGGCCTTGCCCCCAGTCTTAGATTGTGCTCCCCAAGGTGTATGTCTCTATCTTGTCTCATATTAAGCACCATGAACTGGTAAAGGTCTCTACTCATCAAAACTCATCTGTAGAGACTGGGAAAGGTAGCTGCTACTTCAAATATACAGATCACAAAGAAAATCTACAAGGAACACAAAGAGTCATCTCCAATAACCATCCTGAAAGAAACAGAGATCCCTGAATTAACTGACAAAGAATGCAAAATAAATGTCTTAAAGAAGCCCAGTGAGTTACAAGAGAACACTGAGAGATAGCTAAATAAAATTAGGAAAAAGATACAAGAACAAAATGAGAAGTTAAATAAAGAGATAGAGACTATTAAAAAGAACCCAATAGAATTACTGAAGCTGGAGAATACAAAAATTGAACTGAAAGATTCACTAGAGGAGTTCAAAAGCAGACCTAATCAAGCAGAAGAAAGAAACAGTGAACATAAAGACAGATCATTTGAAATTATGTAGTCAGGAGCACAAAGAAAAAACAAGGATGAAAAGTGAGGAAAGCCTAAGTGACTTATGGGACTCAAACAAGTGAATCAATAAACACATTAGGGAATTCTGGGGAGAAGAGAGGGAAAGGGGTAGAAAGCCTATTTAAAGAAATAATGGTAAGGAACTTCCCAAATCAGGGGAGAGAAATCAACATCCAGATTCATGAAGTCCAAAGAGCTCCAAAGATCTACACCAAGACCCATTATAATCCAATTGTCAAAAGTCAAAGACAGAATTTTGAGAGAAACAAGAGCGAAGCAACTCATCACATTCAAAGGAGTCCCCATAAGACTGTCAGCAAATTTCTCAGCAGAATCCTCACAGGCAAAGAGAGAGTAAGATGACATATTCAAAGTACTGAAGATCAAAAAACAACAACAACCTGTCAACCAAGAACGCTATACTCAGAAAAGCCATCCTTCAATAATAAAGAAGAGGTAAAGACTTTCCTAGACAAACATGCAGAGGGGTGTTCACCATCACTGTACCTGCTTTGCATGAAATGCTACAGAAAGTTCTTTAAGCTGAAATGAAAGGATGTTGATTAGCAGCATGAAAAGATGAAAGTATAAAACTTGCCAATAAAGTCAAGTATATAGTCAAATACTAGAGACCTCTAGTACTCTAATGATAGTGTGTAAATCACTTTCAACTCTGGTATAAACATTAAAAGACAAAACTATAAAAGTAATGACATGATTTGTTAATGGATACACAGTATAAAAAGACGTAAATTGTGACACCAATAACATGAAGTGTGTATATAGGAGAAGTAAAAGAGTAGAGATTTTGTATGTGATCAAATTTAAGTTGCTATCAGCTTAAAATAGATGATTATAAGTTGTTTTATGGAAGCCTCATGGTAAATACAAGAAAAACACCTGTAGTAGATATATAAAACATAAAGAGAAAGGAATCAAAGCATATTGCTACAAAAGATAATCAAATCACAAAAAAAGACAGCAACAGAGGGACAAAGGAACTACAAAACAACCAGACAATAATTTAAAAATGGCAGTAATAAGTTCTCACCTATTAATAATTAAGTGTAAATGGATTAGCTTCCCCAATCAAAAGATACAAACTGGCTGAAGAGATTAAGAGGAAGACTATCCATATGCTGTTAAAACAGCAACAACAACAACAACAAAAAACAACAACAACACACTTTAGCTTTAGGGACAAACATAGACTCAAAGTAAAAGGTGGGAAAAATATATTCCAAGCAAACGATAACCAAAAGCTAGTAAGAGTGGCTATTCTTATATCATACAAAATAGACTTTCAGCCAAAAATTGTCACAAGAGACAGAGAGAAGGTCATTATATAACAAGAAAGTGATTAATTCATTAAAATGATATAATAATCCCCTTGATTAGGATCCTTTTGATTGGAATCCTCTTGACTGGAGTAGAACAAAAACTGAATAATTGTAAACTATTATTATGAAGTAGAGATCTCCAATACACTACTTTTTATTTTTCCAAAGCTTTCCTGGAGATCACAGAGAACTGAACATGGAGAAAAAGTGAGCAAGAGACAGCAGTAGGCTTTATGCCTTAAATGGCTGTATAGCTTGTTAAAGATTATTGTTTGTGTATTAAAAAAACATGATTCTAGAAACATAATTGGGGTTTCACAGATCAAATTCAAATTATTAACTTAGTATTTCAGCCTCCATTACTTGCTCTATCTTGCTTAGGCATCCTAGGTTCCAGTACTTCCCAACAAGTGTTCTGTGGTGTATGCAGACTATGTTAGTGTTTCCCTTTATTTTGGTATTTCCACAGGAGACCTAATTTTAAATTTTCTGTTCTATCATCTCCATGATTTCTTAAATTATGTCTAGACTTCTGGATTAGAATATTATTCATGTACTTACTATGATTCAATAAACATCTTCTATGTGTGAGACAGTAGGAATAAGATACAAATAAGACTTATTTCCTATCTTCAAAGAATAAAGGAATTCACAATACAGTGGCCACTTAAATATATAACATGTGTTCCTGCTTTTAAGCTTTTATTCTTTCTATAATTAGAGTATCCTATCATTATTTTATTGATTGAATTCCTTTAATTATCTTATAGTCCAGCTTATGTTCTGCTTCTTCCATAAATTAATTTTTACTTTTTATAGCCCACACTGTTTCCTTTTCCCCCCACTATTACAGTGGAAGTGGACACTATTCCCTAACCAAACTTCATTCCCTCATTCTTCCTAGCCGCAGACCTCTATTTTGTGCAGAGTGTCAATGTGCTCAGTGCTGGATGATGAGTTTTGAAATTTATAAGCCAATTATGACAAGTGTATTCTCTAATTTGCTTGCTTCTCTAGCAAAGAAGGGTGGCCTAGGGATTCAGTTATAGCCAATAAGATCTATGTGGCAATCCACTTGAGAGGCAAGTTTCTGAGAAAGCTTTTTTTTTCCGTTACAAAGAGGAAGGTAAAAGGCAATCCTTCTGTTTCCTCCTCCTTCCCTCTTTGAACATAGACATGATGCTTGGAGTTGTGGCAGCTATTTTGTGATCATAAAGTGACAAGCATGAAAGAAAGACAAAAAGAATCCCAGAGATATCAGCACAGACTTTATCATATACCAGGAATTTCCTACCTCTCAACTTCTGGACTTCCTGTTAGGTGAGAAAACTGAATCTCTATTTGTTTAAGCCACTTAAGTCAGGATTTGCTACCTGCTGCTGAACACATTTCTAACCAAAGTAATAATAGTAACATTCATAATTTGAATTCACCAAACTGTTCTTCCTAACTAGATAACAGACATTGGTCACATTCTTGGCACTTCATAAACATTCATTTGCTTCACATCTTGATTAAATATGCTAGACTTTTATATGTAATGAAATTCTCACACAGAAAGGAAGGGGGGAATTTGGATTAGTATCAGAAAAGAGGATGAAACCAGGTCAAAAAAGGAAAATTTGATTCTATAATAAAAAATTATATGACAAAAATTTGTTACAATGTAGCTCAATTATTATATACAATAAAAGCAAATTTTTAAATATTTTCCAAAATTAATAGCAACATATTTTAAGAAATAAGACAGTAGAATAAGCCCCCAAATGATAAATGTTTTAAAGGAGAGATGATATAAACAAGTCTTCTATTAAATGTGAAGACAATACCATGCAGTTCTACTGAAACCTAAGTGAGGAACCAGCGTTTGTCAAATACCACCAGCAATAAGACTTTTTCTCTGTCCTTTAGGTTGTATGACTGTGATTCACCCCAATGCTACAGGCTCCTTAGCATGCTCATTATTTCTAAAATCTTTCACCTGAGGTTTGAACCCATGACTTAGGAAACTATTATCGCATTTGCTTTTGGAGAAAAGACTACATAAGTTGGGACAGAAGCTATTTTCAAGGCTTCCAAATATTACAAGTAAGTAGTGGGGAACTGTTGAGAAGAGAAATGAGTAGCTTTGGGTCATTTTAGGTTAGTGACCTTAAACATAAGGTGTGATTTAATCAGAAGCCAGAGTAATTATGGCAGGAGGTGGGGAAAAAGACTCAGAGCTGTCTGGAGTTAGGGAGGACTTTGGTGGCAGCTTTCAGCTTGAGCTAAAACTGCAGGATTCTGTCAGAGGCTCCACAAACAAAGGGCTGCATTATGTAAGGAATCTTGTATTTCTTTGTGAACTAGTCCACAACAAAATTTCATTAGTTTTTTTTTTTTTCTCTCCTAGAGATTTTTTTTTACCACTTCCAGCCCGTAACTTGTTGCTCAGAAGGGAAACTTTCTACCTTAAATAAAAGTTTAAATTGTAAGCAAACTGACATTTTTTTAGGAACAAATCAAATTAATTTGAACTTTATAATAACTGGGAAAATGCTTTTTAAGTTAGGTGGATGATAAGTAATCTTATATGAAGAATTTCCAAATAATTTAGCAATAGTTGGCAATAATTTAGCAATAGTTAGCAATACGAGTTCATATCTCTCTCCCTCTCTGTCTCTATCATTTTCTGATAGTCTGTTTACACATGTAACACTTTTGGGTCACCTTTCAATGGAGCATTTCATAGGCAGAATTGGAAGATAGCAAGACACATGGATGGCACATAGCAATAGGTTCTCATAAATATTATCTGTTTTCAAAAGAATATTTATTTTTTTGCCCATTATAAAGATATTCTAAGATTAATTACAGTCCTAATACTGTCAAATTTAGCTTTGATATACAAAAATCTATTTTTTAGTAGTTTAATTTTTTTTTATCAATTACTAACTTGAGGCTTTCATTTTACAACATTATTTTGGTCAGTTATAAAAATAATTTAACTGCCAAATGGGTTTTCCCATTTGACATTTCAAATGTTGGTTTAATACTTATCACTTAGACCTCTATGAAGGTTGACTCAGGTTTACTGGGGGATATTGCATAGATCATGTCTTTTGGTCCAACAGTTTGGGCTGTGAATAGTCTAAATTTGCATGGAAGCTCCCAACTACCAAGCTATCCAAAAACTACAGGGACAGGGCGGGGTGAATGATTCTCAGCAGGTGGCACTCTTCCTTCTAATTAGGTCTTGAATGAATGCACCAGCATTCTGCTATCTCTTGGGTGGAGTGTGAGACTGAATCATTCAATAATGCTTATAGCGCTTAAGAACCAAATTCAAGGGAACTGTGGAATGAAGGCAAGTTATAGGTAACATACAAGGATTTTCATTCTGCTGGACTTTTTCATTCAAAACAGCATCATTCTCAGACTCAGAATTATGGATAACCATGCCTCTCAGTCTACTCAGGAGAGTTTCCAGTTTCAGTTCCAATGGCCCAGTCACAATTATTAGTAGTGTTCATTTTCACTTTCAAAAGTGTCCTAGTTTGGATGATAAAATATGGGGTTACCCTGTATATAAGCTTTAAAAAAGTTAGTCATAACACCATTTACAGTGATAATCATTCTATTTAGGACAAATTAAAGTAGACTCTATTGGCCAACTTCTATAAAGAGAAAGAGATAAACTAAAACATTATTAATTTAATCTCAGAGCTTTAATCAGAAAAAGTTTATTTTAAGATGACAACAAAATTTCTATGAATTATTTAGGATTTCTAATTTTAGGTCATTTTTTTTTAGCCTT
Organism: Homo sapiens; assembly: GCF_000001405.40. Classification (NCBI taxonomy): domain Eukaryota; kingdom Metazoa; phylum Chordata; class Mammalia; order Primates; family Hominidae; genus Homo; species Homo sapiens. Next base: position 114,640,896 of record NC_000003.12, read on the forward strand.
ATTTTATACAAGCAAGCACGTATGCCCTTAAGATTTGTGGTGGAGAAAGAAGTACAATATCTGAAATAAAGTTCTTTGAAGCTTAGGTTTGAATTCTAATTCTACTATTTACTCGGTGTGCAAATTTAAATAATTTCTGTGAACATTATTATTAACCCTTTCTAAAATATGTTTAAAAACATTTTAAAAACCAGAAGGGAAAGAACTACATATGCTGTGAAAAGCTGTAAGTTATTAACAGTTACTATTATTTCTCTTTATAAATAATGATAGTTTTTCCCTTTCAACTTCTATGACACTTTTACAGACTGTAGAAAAATTTGGCCAAGCATGTTGTAGCAAGGGTCCTTAACTGTAATCACCTTTGACACAGATCCATGATATTTCTGGGTGACATCTCTACATGGACATTGATGGCCTGCAAAGATCTAGAAAAGAAAGACTATAGATCTTGTACACCAAGGCCAAAGACTAAAAGGCTGAAATTTAAAGTACAAAAGTATTGTGAACAGTTTTGTTAGTAGTATAATATATACCACTTATATAGATAATTTTTCTTATATAGATATAAGAATAATTTTTCTTATATAGATATAAAATAGGGTTTCTTATATAGATAATTTTTCCATGGAAGGAAGGGGAAACGAGGCGAAAAGTGGCTGGAGTAGAAAGACTAGTTTGTAAGGCAGAAAGATTTTCTAATTACTAGGTAGATTTTATTTTATTTTACTTGTTTTTACTAGCTAAATTTTAAAAAAGAGATTCCTAGATCTCTATAGACATGTTCCTCTTTCTTTTTGCTGATATTTTCCTATTTCTTTTCTGAAATCTTAATTTGACTAGAAAAAAAATGATGTTCTGATTTAATTCTCTTAGTCTACCTGACATCAAAAAGTATATGGAGGGTGTCTTTAGTTTTTTATTTATATGAATGTAATCAAATAATTTTATTTTTTAAAAAAAGACTCTCACTGTTTTTCATTGTTTAACAGACATTTCTTTAAAACTTTGAAGTAATTATAGAAAATGTTCTCATAAATTTTCCCTCCAAATTAACCAGGTAGAAAGGGCTAATCCTGTTATGCATGCCATTTTTGTTTGTTTAAATTGACTATTCTGAGAATTAAGTCTGTAGTACCTAGTTTGAGGCCTCAAGATTTTCAGGTATGCACAAGGTTCTATCAACTAATTCTTTGTCTCACTGATGATCCTTTATTTTAAATATACTCTACTTGCAAAGGTGGTAGGGTAAAAAGAGGAGTGGCTGACAAGAGACTAAAGAGGGGAAAGGATTCCCAACATCCTTAATATCTCAGGGCTGAAAAAGAGCATTAGAAATCTTCTCCAATCTCTTGGAGAAAAAATATCTTTCACACACTCTGTCTATTAGAACTTCATTTGTGTTTAACAAGCCCCTCTTTTAAAATGCAAATTTGCCTTGTGAACCTGTAAACCTCATTCACACCTTATTGTTAATTACTTTGATGTTCTAGAATATGATCAACACTTAACTGATATTGGCAATCTAGGAATGAACAAATTGCTCAGGGTGAAAAAAGGAAAATTTTGTTGGAGTGGGGCTGTAGGTGGTAGTGTGAGAATTTCATTTGTGAGAAATAGAGCATACTGATATTCTGAAGTTTTGTCTAGGAGAATGGCAGTAGTTACGGTACCACAAAACGAGCACTTTTCCCGACTGCCGATGTCTAGTTGAGATCAGAAAAAGCCTGGAAGCCTGCAAACCTAAGTTTTAAATATTTAGCCATAGCAAGCTAATCAAGCTTGCAATTTTCTGAAAACGTTTTAAGTTAATTCATAATAGCTCTACAACTCGGTGACCTTGGGTTCTAAGACTCATTTGGTTCAACCTTCCAGGTTTAAAATTCAACCAATAAATGAATTCCAAGGAAAAAAAGTGAATATGGCCCAGTCCTTTTTTACTGTCTCCCTAGTCATTCACTTCAGAGATTTTGGAATGCAATCCTAGAACATACTGTAAGCAATTTCAGAAGAATACACAGGATGCAGTATTTCTCTATGTGTCTTAGTAAATGTCACTTGACCCGATATATCAAAAAGGTTGCAAAATTTGAATTAGACTTTAGTTGACTTAAGCTACACATCTTAGCTTGGCAGAAATTCAAGGAAAAAAATATTTTATGGCCTCTTGTAACATTATTAATCACCCCTCCTTTTATATAAAAAATAAATATGCTAAACTCTTCACTGTTCAGAAAAGGGGTCATTTTTCCTGCCAAAATGGCTAATTTTAGTTTTTATGTAGTTGGATACATTTGTAAACTATTACATGAAAACATATGGTTGGAACATGCTTACTCCTTCATGAGTGTTCCCCTTTTGAGGCTGCAAAATTTTCCTTAGTTGCTCCATGTGCTACTTTGTTGTGCTGATGACTTCTTGTTCTAAATAATTTTCTTCATTTTCCATTGTTAATGAAATGAGTTCTAATAAGGAACAAAGAAACCCTCTGATGAAAATCCCTTTCTTGTAGAATGGACTGGGAACTGATATAGGACACAGGGGAACAGCAAATGCTGTGTTGCACATTCTTCAATTAAATGATCCCTTTGTAGTTTATTCACCTGAATGCATTTTGGCAAAGAGTGAAGCAATAGTGGGAAAAGGATTGTTTGTGTGGCTAATCTTTGGTTACTCAGAAAGTACTAGACATGTTTTCCTGCATGTTTGATTGATTTCCTGCACAGTTTGATTGGTGAATCAACACTTTAAGGTATCTAACCCATAAGGAAGAGTGAAAAACTTCCCCAGAGGTATTGAAATTTCACTAAACCTCTTCTTGGAGTTTTGGTGTATGATTCTCAGTTGATCTTTGAGTGTAACAGTCAACTATTAAATTGGCATGACTGAAGTACAGTTTTTTCAAATAGAAGAGTATTTTAGAACAAATGAGAATTCTAACTCTTTAACTGAATTTCTAACTTTACATTTTGCCCGTACCTCTCCTTGTAACATTCTTCCCTTTTTCCCTATATATTTTTACCAGTAATCCTTTCAACTGCTCCTTAACAGTGAGATTCTACTGTTCTGGCACATTATAGGTTCTCTTTAACTATTTTTTGAGTGCACAAATGACCATTTGGACAAATATTATAAAATGAACAATAAAAAACCTTAATTATGCAAATTAATAAGTCTATACCTTTGGGAAAAAAGCCATGATAGTAACAAAATGAATAACAATTCCAAGGATATTTAGGAAGGATAAAGCCTAGAAGATTAAAAATGAGAAATTTTAGAATCATAAAAAACAAAACGAAATAAAATAGCTCAATACCATTGAAAGCACATGTATGCAGAAAGAAGCTAATATATTATTGTAAAAAATTAAATGGAAAGAAATTAGAAATCTATTGGTATTATTACATCAAAAGCAGGAAGTTCTTTCTTTCTGGTCCAACTTTAGAGAGAAGAACAAATTTGCCAGTGCCACCAAGGGCAGAATAGAGAGAGATGTTTGGAATTTAAGAGTTACAGGTTATGTTATGGTTCATTTATATCATTGCCATCACTGCAGTTCATTCATTTTGTGTCTAATTATTGATGTTGCCACGGTTGTCAATAAACGCTCAGCATTACTAATCATCAGAGAAACGCAAGTCAAAACCACAATGAAATACCATCTTATACCAGTCAGAATGGCTGTTGTTAAAAAATCAAAGAACAACAGGTGCTGCATGATTGTGGAGGAGAGGGAATGCTTACACATTGTTGGTGGGAATGTAAACTAGTCCTACCTATTAGGTACTGTGCTCATTACCATAGGAATTAGGGTGGGATTCCTATTCCAAACCTCAGCATCACACAATATTCCTATGGACTAAATCTGCATATGCACCCTCTGTATCTAAAATAAAAGTTGAAATTTTAATAAAGATGGAACTAATCCCTCATATCACAGAATTATGTAGTTGTGGGTAGTCAGGATAAAGAATATTTAGGATATAATTTAAATGAATTCACTAGCTCTGAAAATGAAAGAATAAACAGAAAACTAATCTAGACATTAAATTTTTTTCTTTCCCTAAGGATAATGTATAGTCCCTAAGGATAATGAATATTCAAGGACATACTGTAATAAATCATATACATTTATTATTAATATAATATAGTTTATTGCACACACACACTATGAGCTCCACGATGTTCGTTGAACTATTACAAAGTTTAAAGACATACGAAATTACAGTAAGAGCCATCCATATAAAAATAAAATGTTAGTGTTTGGAAGGACCAATTGTAGGAGACTATATTGGCGAGTTAATACAAAAGATCATCTTTTGTTTAAGAGTTCATATATTTTTGTGTAAATTATATCTATTTACAGAAATTTTCTTTACTACCAACTGTTCTCAAACCCATTCACTAATAAATAATTACTATATGTGATTACTTAATATTTACCTCAAACCTTTATGAATATCACTGAAAGCATTACTGGCAAATTAATTATATAGGCAAATGGTGAGGATCTCTCAACCTCACCTCTCACCTTCTTCCCAATCACTCGAAGACTGACTATATCAATTTGTCTTGTTATCCAGAAATTGGCTTTATTTGTTAATTCCAGAGATGCTTCAACTGTAGTTTCAGCCAGCTGTTTCCTTACATCTTTCTGGGTGGCATCAGTTTACAATGCATAGCATTGTTGAGGGTCAAAGTTATTTTATTTTGGTATTACTATTGGATTTTTCCCCCAGTGCCTCAAAGGGGAATGTTGAGTCATGGAGATGTAATGTGACTCCTTAAACTAAGTAGACTTCTAATACAAGTATACTTTTATTATGGAGAAACCAAATTAATTTTATCAATTAAATGAGAATTTATTTACCATTTGCCTTTACCAGATATTTCATTAGACACAATTCTCAGACTTTACACAATTACAAAGAATGTTGTATAAAAACTATCTATAAAGCAGGAGATATTTCATTCTTAGTTTTTTGCCAAACAAATTATGTTGCTTCGAGGAACAGAGGGAAAAGAAACATTGATGAAACACAGCCCTCAACTATGGCATAAAGTCCAAAGCACAGAGAAGGTCAGAAAAGAATAAAGCAGTTTTGCAGAATTATTATGATAGGGAGTACTGATAAAGAAGAGTCAACTTTTTGGCCTTAGTCATTTACTGAGTTCCTTTATTAAAAATAGAGCATAAACATTTTAGAAATAATTTTTTCTCAATCTTTTTTTATAAAACCTCTACAGAAAAAAGAAGCGTTATGTGAAAAGCAGCTAAATGGGAGGAAAGTAGGGGTCTGTGGGTGAAACAGGAGGTTACCATTGCAAACCCTGTCCTTGATGCCCTCACTCAGTAGGACTGGTGGATGGAAGAAGTTTGAAAAACTTTTATGTAGAGATGAAGAAAAGTAGAAGCCCTAGTTTACAGAGAACGAAAGATACATTTTTCTTCTGTGTAGGTAGAGTTTGTATTTGGAGAAGGAGGAGACTCCTTTCTTCTGATGAAAACTCCTTCTTCCAAGAGAAAACTCCATTAGGAAAAATGGAGCAGCAGTGAGTGAGAGAGACCAGGTTTAAGATTTGTTTTGGAGGTTAAATTTGTTGTGGAAGTTGACAGAATGTGGTGAAAGCAAGACACATCATAAAATAAGCCAAAAAAAATCTCTCTCTTCCAGCTCATTGTATATTGGAGAGTTAGTTGACTTTTCTACTGTAAATGTAAAGAAAACAAAAGTTTCATTCATCCTCCTGTAATGATGCCAATCTAATTTGCTATTAAATTTCTATTCAAAAGCCCTATTTTGTTTAGTTACAAGGGATTTGATCCCCTTAAACTTTCCCAGGCAATTTGTATGGAAAGGCGGTTGCTAAGGGTATTCCTAAGGGAACTGGCAAACGTTGGAAGATAAATAACCTCAGTACAATATGCAGATTAAGTAGAAGGGATGGTTTAAGAGTTACCTTTTGAAGGAAAAATAAAAGATTCAGAATTCAGGGCTAGAGTTGCTAGTTAATCACTGATTTGAAGGTACTTAATCAAGGCAGTTTTATTTTATTTTATTTTATTTATTTATTTTTTTTTAGACAGAGTCTTGCTCTGTTGCCCAGGCTGGAGTGCAGTGGCGCGATCTTGGCTAACTGCAAGCTCTGCCTCCCGGGTTCATGCCATTCTCCTGCCTCAGCCTCCCGAGTAGCTGGGACCACAGGCACCTGCCACCACGCCCAGCTAATTTTTTGTATTTTTAGTAGAGACTGGCTTTCATCGTGTTAACCAGGATGGTCTCGATCTCCTGACCTTGTAATCCACCCGCCTTGGCCTCCCAAAATGCTGGGATTACAGGCGTGAGCCACCAAGCCCGGCCAAGGCAGTTTTATACTTCTCAAGAAAGTAGAACTTTCACATTGTTCCTCTTGGGAATAAAGGTAAAATTATCATAGAGAGGAAATTAGAGAGAAATGTTCACCATTTCCTTCCTTATATTCTTCCTTTCTTTCCTCTCTCTATCTCTAGAGCTCTTCCTCAAAGATTCAAATAACCAAAAATATGAAGCCATGGGTGGCAGCTTGGAGTTCTCAAAAGTCCAAAGTGAGGTTAGCTTCTGACCAAAACTTTTGGCAATTTCCTTAGGTTGAGTGAAAGAAGCAATGTGAAAAAGCATGAGTTTAGAGTCAGTCAGCCATCAATTTAAAATCAAACTCCACTATTTATTATTGGTGTGATCTTGAATACATTAGCCAACCTCTTTATAGTCCAGTCATTTCTAAAGAGGTGATTATCTATGAAACCTGTATTACATATACAATGTGTAAGTACTCAGTAAATACTCAGTACTTCTCTAGTATCTCTCTAATTGGATTTGGCTAGTAATCATGACAATTGTGGGAGAGAAAAAAAAAGATATGTAATCCTGAGGGCACTCAGTCTCTGTAACAATCACTTGATAAATAATCAGGTGATACTTCGTTGACATCTCTTTAATCTTCCAATTGAGAAAACATTAGGAGTAGAAGAAAAATGATTAATCTCCAACTTCTGTCATTGGAAAATAACTAAAGATCAGAACTATAAGAAACATAAAACTTTTCTAGATTATTAAAGTTAACCTTTTAGACATTTTCCACAATCACATGGTATGCAAATTTTAACTAAATTATTTTACATTAAATGTATTTTGTGCTATGTTTTGACTAGTTGATTTTACTGTAGTATAGAATGTATTATGACATTCCATTATCCTCTTATTACTCATCAATAAAAAATTTATTGAGAAAACAATTAATTATAATTAATATTTATTATTCATTACTAGTAGGCATTGTAGTAATTACACTATTATTGGTATTTTAAATATCATTAATAGCTATAAACATGTTATACATAATAATAATAGAAACCATTTGTGGAGTGCTTACTGTGTAATACATTTTGCTAAGCATTTTATATACATTCTTAAAATTAATAATTTCAAAGATTTAATGAGCTAAGTGTCACCAGATAAACGAGAAGACATAATAATCTTTATTTATTAAAGGAAAACTTGCCATATCCACACAATCTTCCAAAGCACTGATAGAACAGAATGATGGCATGATGGCATCTTAAATTTAGAAAGTGTCATTCATAAAAGTGTACTGTTAACTACTAATTTGTGCTATCTGCAATAATAATATTATATTACACAAGATGGAAAGGCTACCCCCTAAAAGATAGCATTTGATAAATTGTACATAAAAATCTAGAAGAATAAGAGTATAACAGAGGAGTGAAATTTGATCTGAAATACAGAGAAAATTAAGAAAAACAAAACATGTTAGCCCTACTGGAATTTGTCTCAATGTATTTCAAGGTTCAAAGTATAGCAGAGGAAGATCATTGACACTGTCAGAGGATTATCATTAAATTTCAACCCAAAGGCAACTAACTCAAACTATGCAGATATGGAAAGTAGTGTTTCCTAAAATGAAACTAAGGCAAATATTATTTATTCTAGCTTCTACTCTTTTGACTAATCAGCTGACCCAGAAATTAAATATTTAAAGGCTTAAAAATAATATAGTTTTAAGAAGTTGACCTATACGTTACTAAATAAAATGATCCTCGTTGTATTTGAAGTAGCTCACCATTTAAAAATTTAATCTATGTCCACCCATTTTCTTTCTTCCCAAATAATACAATGATTTAATTACCCCACAGTTTAATTTGACAGAGGAGCCAAAAAGATACACTATTCCTTCATTGTTAACTTTAAGGAGAAAAATACACTATAAACTATATTAGAAATCTTATTTTTTGGGTGTCCACCACAATGTTTTCACTACAAAATCCCTTGCTGCCTGAATACAAAATGTTACCATTCAATCAGATGAGTCTCCATGAAGTTAGAAACATTCAAGTGAAACTCATAAAATAAAGAAGATATACTCTAAAAATTCCAGTTCTTGAGAAGCTGTTTACACACAAAAGGGCTATTAAAAGTGAAAGGGTAAGTAGAAAATCTTCTGGGCTCATTTAATAAAAGAATGTAGAGTTCCATGGGATTCTTTTCTAAAGAAACCACTAACAATGTTGCAGATCTACAAATCCTAAAAGAGTGCATAATGGACTCAAGTCTCTGCTTTGTGACTCATGGGTGTACTTCATCAGGATGTACTTCCTCTTTTAGGGGGTCATATAGGTGAATAAGCTGACAACACCTTCAGAGAGAGAAATTCCACATGTGTCATAGGAATAGAATTTATTTGATCTCAAGCTTTCTATATATAGAAAAAAAACAAATTCTAATCCAAACTTTAATGAATTCAGTATTGTTGTTGTTGGTTTGCCTCTAGAATGTCTCTTTTGACCAAGTCACATTCCTTTAAATTTACACTAGGTAAATTATATATTTTCCAAATCTTTTATAAAAGCATAAGCTAAATGAGATAACATTAAAAGGCTGATTGGAGATTTCCCTTTAAAAGCAGTCATAAGAACAACAGCAATAATAATATAACAACAATATACACTACATTTTGGGCACCATGCTTTGAATTTATATACACTAATATTATTAAGGCAATCTGTGCTTTTGAGAAGCTACTCCAGACTAGGCACTACACAAACTCTGCCACACACAAGAGAGAAACAATTTCAATTACAAAGAGAGCTAGAAAATAAAATGGATAAGAGTATCATGAAAGATTTTTTGTAAAACTGAATAGATCCTTTCATGTTTCTCAGTTTTAATCTCTCCAAATATCCCTATTGTCTGCTTTTTAAAAGAAAAAACACTGTAAAAATTCTGAAAAAATTATTCACAAAGAAAACTTCCACTCGTTTATATAAAGCATTATTATTAACTTCATAACATGCATAATATCATCTATTTCTGAAAGACCATTGAAAAGTAGCCATAAAAACTTAAAAAATTGAAAATAATCTTTAGAGATCAACAGGCCAGGAAGAGTTCTAAGAATATGCATTGGCCTTTACTAACCATTTTCAATGCCATGCACTTTTGTCTGTCAATACTTTCTCCTGTTATTTTTAATATCCCTAGATTAAGAAATATTAACATCTATTTACAAAAAAATATTCTAACAGTTTCCCCCACAAAAGCATATTCCCATGAAGATCAAGAAAACAAAAAACATAGCAGGGAGTCAGTATTCTGACAGCCTTTTAGTCTTCTTCATCTTCTTCCTACTATTATTATTAGACCTACTGCCTATTACCAGTAGGCTTTTTAAAGGTCTTGGACATAAATATCAGTTGTTAAGTTGCTATTTTCATGGTCATTTAAAATTATTTCAACCATAAATGCTTTTAATTTCCTGAATATCTTAAAGCTGTCTAAGTATAAATATTCTCCCATTATATTCCTCTGTGCTAACACAATAATCTAGTTGGAGTCAAGTTTCATGAAAATAAGAAAATTGGTACATTATAACATTTTAAACACTGAAAAATAAACGTGATAGCTGTAGGATGTAAAGTGTAGTCAGGCCTGTAGAACTTCGGATGCATCATTTTACAATATCATTTATCATTTTGATAAAACTGAGGTCAAGTTTCTAAAAATACAACTTGTTAAAAGCAGGAATAAATGAATGAGAGATGAGTCAGCTCGTTTGATGGAAAGGGTTTAAAAAATACTTCAAAAGCATACCACATGACTTGGTAAATATTCAGTGTATCAAAATGTAGTTGCCATCTGGCATTGATAGACTGGGCTAGAATATGTGTTTAAAAAGAACAAGAAAGGAAATAACTCAGCCAGGTTAATGTGCACTTGTCTACATTTCATAATTCAGGTATTAAGTGCTTTAATAAATATTCACTATGAAAGAAAGGCTGCATTACAATCAGACTTGGGCAGTATTTGTTGGGGACAGCTAGAAAGAAATGAAAGAAGACAAGACCTGATGGCACTTAAGAAAGCTAAAAACAACAATAAAAAAGTGGTTTAGGTAAACAGAATTCTCAATCATATGTAATATTGCCAGAACACTAGTATCACAGTTAAATGCAGGGAAGTGGTAAGCTTATATTTGAAAATAAACTGAAATCTTGCTTATTTTCAGCTTTGAATATTTTAATTATTCTTTTCTTTGGCTTTGACAATTTAAAAGTATAGAGAAATCCAGGGAATAAGTAAAACCCTTGGTTGGATAGTAAAAAAAAAAAAAAAAAAAAAAGGAAAAACGAAAAAGTCCTGACATTCTTTGAAGTTTTAAACCTAGAGTTTGATATTAACTTTGCAATATGCAACAAAACAAAAAGTAAATTTGAAGGACTCCTCTTTTCTCCCTCTTGCTCAAGAAATAAAATATATTTAGAAAGCAGTATCATTCACAAAAGAGAAAAGTGAACACGAGCAGTGAACACTTGCCCAAGCGTTCGACTGTCCAAGGCTGTATCTGGGCTTGTTAATTAGATATTTCTGTCTTTAACCTTGAACATTCTCCAGATTTCCAAATCTTGACAATTTACATTCTACCACATCTCTTGGAATCAGAGCAATAGGCAGAAGAGAAAAGTTTTAAAACAGCTTTGAAGGTTAATTAGGACAGGGACCAGGGTAGCCATTAGGAAAATAGATGAAGCACTTCAGGTGAGAGTTGATTAGGGTCAACATGAAATTTTTCAGAGTTGAGGTATAATTTATATTCAGCAAAATTCATGGACTTCAAAATGTACACAGAATGAGTTTTGATTTTGATAAATTTATACACCTATGTATAAATATGTATATATAAAAATGTATATATTTACCACCATAACAGAGACATAGAAAGTTCCTTTGTGCCCCCTTCCAGTTAATTTCTATCTCCCATAAACAACCAGCATTCTGATTTTTATCACGATAGAATAGTTTCGCCTTCACATAACTTATGTATACTCTTGTGTCCTGGCTCTTCTGCATACCATGTTTCTGGAATTCATCTACATTGTTGTATCATACTCTGTTTTGTTTTATTTGCTTGTTAGTATTTCATTATATGAATATACCACAATTTGTATATCCACTTTCCACATTTGGGTGCTTCCAGTTTTAGGCAATTACAAATAAAGTCAGTATAAACTTGCCTGTACAAATCTTTTTGAGGGCATTATTTTCATTATTTTTTGGTAAATAACTAGGAATGTAATTACCAAACAATATGGTAGGCATATGCTTAACCTTAGAAGATACTGATCCAATGTTCCAAAGTAGAACTATATATTTACAGAAAGTCTTGAAATTAGGTAATGTGAGTCTTTCAACTTTATTCTTTTTCTAAGTTTTCTGCAATCTCATATACATTTTAAAATAAATTTGACAATTTATCTTAATGTTAGAAAAACAAGATGTTGATATTTTGATGGTGATTGCATTGAATCTACAGATAATTTGGGGAAAAATGACACTTTAGAAATACTGAGTATTCATCTATAAATAACGGATTTTTCTCTAAGGCCTTTTAAAATTTTGAGTGGGGAATCTTACATTCTTTTGTTAAACTTTTATTTAAATGTCTTATATTTATAGGCTACTGTAAATTGATTTTAAAACTTCATTTTCAAATTATTTGCCGGTACTACATAAATGCAATCAATTTTTGTATATTGATCTTGTGACCTTCCTAAATGCACTGTTAGCTCTATTAGTTGTTTTGTATATCCCCTAAGAGTTTCTAATGTAAACAATCATGGTATTTGTGAATAAACACAATGTTACTTCTTCCTTTCCTATGCTTATACCTTTAATTTATTTTACTCGTCTTATTGCTCTGGCTAGGATCTTTAGAACAACGCTGAACAGAAGTAGTAAGAATATATATCTTTGCCTTCTACTATATCCCAGGAGGAAAGCATTCAGATTTTATCATTAAGGACGGTATTAATTATATGTTTTCATAGAGGCCCTTCATCAGATTGAGGAAGTTTCAATCTGTTCTAATTTTCTGAGAGTTTTCACTGTGAATGACTGTCAAATTTTTTCAATTGCTTTTTCTGCATCTATTGAGATCATATTTTTCTTCTTTATTAGGATGCATTTACAGTGATTTATTTTCAAACGTTAAACTAAAGTTGCTTTTCTGAGATAAATCCTACTTGATCATGAGGTATTATACTTTTTACTTTTTATTGTTGAAGTTTGTTTGCTAATATTTTGTTAAAGATTATTGTGCCTAGAACCATGAGGAATATTGGCCTATACTTTTATTTTCCTGTAATATCTGTCAGGTTTTGCTGTTGGGATTATGCCTGTCTCATAAATCAGGAAGTGTTTTGTTTTTACCTCCTATGTTTTCTGAAAGAGTCCGTGTAGGATTAATATTATTTCCTCCTTAAATGTTATATAGAATTCTCCAGGGAAACTATCTAAACCTGAAGTTCTTTTTTTAGGAATGCTTTTGACGACAAATTCAATTTCTTTAATCAATAAAGGAATATTTTGATTTCTTTGGTTTACTATGCCAGTTTTGTTAATATGTTTTTAAATAAATTTACCTATTTTATCAAAGTTGTTGAAATTATTGACATGAAGTTTTCATAATATTCCCTTGTTATCCTTTAATATTGTTATGATATGTAATGATAATCTCTCATTACTGATATTCATAATTTGTATCATCTCTTTTTTCTTGAACTTTTCTGTTATAGCTTATAAATTCTGTTAATCTTTTCAAATATTCATGTTTTGCTTTCATTAATCTTCTTTGTAGTTTGTTTTTATTTCACAGTTTTCTGCCTTTGTTATTTGTTTTCTTTTTTTACTGCTTTTGGGTTTAAAATGATTATACTTTCCCACTTTCTTAAAGTGGAAACCTACGCTATTGATCTTAAACCTTTCTTCTTCCTTCTAATTTAGGATTAAAAGCTCAAAATTTCTGCTAAGCTTCTCTCTGGCTCATATTATAAATGTCAATATATTGTATTTTCATTTAATCAGTTTCATAAATTTCAATATACTGCATAACTTAATTTAATTATTTTAAAATTTCATGACTTTCAACCATGAGGTATTAAGTTTGTTGTGTAGTTTCCAACTGGTCTTTTCTAGATATTTTATTGTTTTCTTTTTTTATTTCTAATTTAATTAATTATAAACAAGAAGCATATTTTGTAGTATCTCAATCTTTTGAAAATGTTTGAAACTCATTTGATGAACCAGATTAGGGTCTACTTTAATAAATAAAGTAGAACATACATACAGGACTCTATTCCTGTATGTTTTAAATATGTTTTAAAGAACACATATTCTCCAGGTGGGAATAGAACACATTCTCCAAGTGGGAATAGTGTTCTGTAAACATCAAACAGGTCAAGGCAGTTGATGGTGTTTTTAATTTCTTGTGTATTCTTACTGATTTTCTGCCTATTTGTTCTATCAAGTTCTAGAACAAGAATGTTAAAATCTCCAATTGTTATTGTAGATTTTACTATTTCTCTCTAGTTTTCTGTCAGTTTGTGTCTACATGTTTATGACTTATGCATTCATGATAATTTCACACATATGATTAGGAAATATCCCTCCTTATCTCTAATAGTACTCCTTGGCATAAAGTCTATTCTTTGTAATATTAATATTCCAACCTAGCTTTCTCATGCTTATTGTTTGCATTGTATATATCTTTCTATCTTTTCACTCTCAAGATATCCATGTTATTACATTTAAAGTGTATTCCTGTAGACAGCATATGTTGACTCTTGCCTTTTTATTCAGCCTAATACTCTCTCTTTTAATTGTAGTATTTATACCATTTACAGTGAATGGAATTATTGCTACAATTAAGTTTAGGTCTACCATTTATTTCATTATATGCTTTTGATTTTTTTCTTTTGGGTTTTTGTCATTGTTATTCTTCTGTTTTCCTTTCCTTTTTTTTTTTTTTTTTTTTTGAGACGGAGTCTCGCTTTGTCGCCCAGGCCAGACTGCGGACTGCAGTGGCGCAATCTCGGCTCACTGCAAGCTCCGCTTCCCGGGTTCACGCCATTCTCCTGCCTCAGCCTCCCCAGTAGCTGGGACTACAGGCGCCCGCCACCGCGCCCGGCTAATTTTTTGTATTTTTAGTAGAGACGGGGTTTCACCTTGTTAGCCAGGATGGTCTCGATCTCCTGACCTCATGATCCACCCGCCTCGGCCTCCCAAAGTGCTGGGATTACAGGCGTGAGCCACCGCGCCCGGCCTTCCTTTCCTTTTTTAATGAGTTAAACTGATCAATTATTTTTCCATTCAATTGCACAACTGGCTTTTTAGCTGTACCTTTTTTGTTATTTTTTAGCAGTTGTTCTAAGGATTACAATATGCCTCTTTAATTATCACTGTTTACACAGAGTTAATATTTTACCACTTTATGCAAATGTGAGTATCTTATAAGTATAATTTCATTTACTGCCACCCAGTACTTTGTAGTATTTTTACATACTTCATATCTGCAAGTACTATAGACTCATGAGAAAATACTATAATTTATGCATTAGTCAGTTTTTCTTTTAAAGAAATTAAAAGAATAAAAGGATATTCTTTTACATGTAAATAGATACTTTAAAATTTTTAGTGAAAATTTTCTGTAAAAACAAGTTTCTATCTTGGTTCATAGTGTCATTTCCCTTCACCCTGAAGCACTCACTGCCTTTCACACTACTTATAGGAATTCCACTGACAACAGAAAATTCATTTCTTCATTATTGCAAGATCACATTGCTCTACATAAAATTCTGGTTTTGCAGTTGTTTTTCTTTTCAATCATTAAGAAATGGCATTACATTTAGTATGAGGAATGAGTCGATGTTTGATTATTCCCCTGTAGGTGATCTATTGTTTCCACCCTTAGGGCTGCCTTTGAGATTTTTCTTTGTATCTTTGGTGTACAGAAGTTTGAATACAGTGCCTACATGTGATTTTCTTTGCATATTTTTGTGTTTTTTCTCAGCAAATTTTGGACATTTTCAGCTATGATTTCCTCAAATATCATTTCTGTCCCATTTTCTCATCTGCCACCCACAATCTGCTGTTAAGATTCTCCAACAAATCATTTTTTATTTCAGATTCTGTACTTTAACCTTTGGTTCTTTTTAGTAATTTCATTTCTTTTTTCTTCTTCTGAGACATGCAAAGTATAGTGGACTGGTTGATATTGTTGTACAGATCACTCTGCACATTTTTGAATCCTTTTTCTCTCTGTTCTTTACATTAATAATTTCTATTGACCTGTATTCAAGTTTACTGACACTTTCTTCTGCCATCTACAATCTATTGTTAAGCCACTTCAATGACTCTTCAAAAAAATTTCAGGTATTATACCTTAACTTTTTACTTATTTTTGAAAATTTTCATTTCTCTGCTTATTTTCTCATCTGTTCCCTCATTATGACTATATATATACATATATTTTTAGAGACAGGGTCTCACTCTGTTGCCCAGGCTAGAGTGCAGTGGAGCAATCTCGGCTCACTGCAACCTCCACCTCCTGGGTTCAAGCTATCTATTCTCATGCCTCAGCCTTCTGAGTAGCTGGGATTATAAGCATACGCCACCACATCTGGTGGATTATAGGCGTGAGCTACCGCACCGGGCCTGAAAACATATTTTTTTAAAATCCTGAATATATTTATAATTTCTGCTTTAAAGTCCTTGTCTACAACTTCTGAATCATCGAGGAATCTATTTCCATGGACTTTAAAAAAAAATTACATGTCACATTTTTCTGTATCCATCACTGGTAATTTTTGAATTACAGTTGAACATTGTGCATGATATTTATACAAACTCTGGGTTTGGTTATCTTTCTCTAATGCAATGCATTTTTCTTCTAGCAGGTTATTAAATTACTAGTCGACCACTTTGATTTGAAGAGGACTGGTTTTATTATTTGACAGAAACTTTCAATGCTTCAGGTTTGTCTCTCTTTCTATAATTAATTTCTTAGTTCTTAGCTATCATCTATATTTCTAAGGTTTGATCCTTCTGGGATTCATAAAGCCTGAGACATTTACCAAACCCTTCTAACTTTGTAAACTCAAACTCCTAACTTTGTCTCCTCTTCATCTAATGTATCTGTTCAGCTCTTTTAGCTTTCTAGTTGTTGCTTTTCTCCAGGCACTTATAGGCTCCCACATACATGCACAGTTTATATCAGCCAGAATGTTAGGGTAACTTATATGTAGATTCATGGGAGCCTTCCCTCGATGGCTCCATCCTTTCTAATACTTCCTTCCTCAATTTCAGCTACTTTGCCAATGCCAGCTCCATTCGCTAACATCACAAACCAATAAGATTGTGGTTTTCTGCCTGAATTCTAACTTCTCTATACCATACAGACTGGGAAGTTCCTTGAGGGAAGAAGCTGTAACAAACGTGAATTTTACCCGGGACAGTTCACTCCAGATTCCAACTGCTTTTGGTCACTCTCCGGTGCCTTCAAATAATTGTGGTGTTTTTTTTTTAAGTTTTTAATTGGAGTTTAGTTTTATTTTTAACCCATACCATGGTTTGGAACTGTTATCTGTGGAAATATTTGTCCTGAAACAGTACAAGTTACTCCTTTATTACCAAAATCACAACTACCAAAATTGTGGTTTTATGTTAGATAGCACTTGAACTGATATGGAAAACTGCATTAGAATCAAAGTGTCTATAGGGCTTCCTCTCTCAATATTCAGTATTTTAAAATTGAGACAAGACTATTTTTTAACCTTAAAAAAATCACTCATAGTGCCCTAGGAAAGTGCTATATATTCCACTCAGTCGCTAAATATGGCCAATGAATATTTCTATAATTAAATTTAGCAGAATAATCTGTGAATAAAATGAAACAGACCTGTATGTAAAGAAAACTACCTTAATGAACTTGCTTGGGAGATCAGTGGTATGTGATATTTCTAATCATGACAGAGAAGTTGAACATGTGGTACAGTTGTGTAGGGAAAATGGATAACTCTTATCTTCATTATTTTTTAAGTCATTCTAAGAGAAGCATTTGCTAAGTAGTTTATATATATGAACTTATATAATTTTCATAACAATTTTTAAAAATAGTATTGTAACATTATTTTGTAGATCACAAAACTACAAAGTATCCCAGGCCATCAGACTCCAGAGTTAAATTCCAACCATTCCCTCTAACTACCTGCTCAGAATTGAGATAAAACTCATCCACAGCAGTCATCATTTTTTCTAAGAATATACATCACCTATTAATGTTCTTTCCCATCTCCCATGTTAACAACTTTCTTCCTCTATCATGTAAACTTGCTCTCTATCATCTCCGTGCCTTTCTTGTTCATTTTCATGGAGCAGCCATAAAATGGAGAATAACAATTGAAGCAGTGAATAGCCAAGAAGCATCTCTCAATCAATGAACCTGAGACAGCCTGTTCACTTCTGTCCATCATTCTTGTCCTTTAGATCTCAGTTTCAAATTCATTTCTTCTAGACATTCATCTCTTCCCATGTTTAATCTGGAACCATCTACCCTTCCACCAGACCAATTATCCTGGCAAATTAATGTAATAGACCAGTATTAATTATTTGCTTGTATGTCTTAACAACATTCTAGGTGCTGTGCCAAAAACAAATGAATAGCAACACAAGGTCTTCTGGTTACAAGCACATTACATTTTGGTTGGGGAGATTTTGACCCATCTCACAGTCATAATCTTCATCCAGGTTATCTCGTCAACCTCTATGTATGCATATATTCCAATATTTTGTTTTGCTTTTCTTTCTTCCTTGTAGTAATTTCACACAGACTATTCGCTTCAAGAACCTAACTAACTTCCTGTTGGTACCCAATCCTTTAACTCTAGAGGGTCAAATGGAGCCCTGTGGCTCCTGGCAGTGTTCCTGAAGATCAGGTCCCTCTGGTGGAACTCAGTTCTCACTGCCTTATCTAACCTTCCTCACTCAGCTTGTAATCAACTTAACTTTTAAAGTCTTTGTACACATTAGGTAATATTTGTTCTCTGAACTCCCAGAGGGGCTGTGGTAACTGCCCAACTAGGAAGCCCTACCCTTCATTATTCAGCAACAGCTTGAAGAATATTCTAATTCTAACTTTCCGCCCTCTGACAGACCAGCTGCATCAAAGGCTGTGTTCCCCTGTTTGTTTTTTTCCTGAAGCAGAGTCACCATTTCAAACTAAGTAATCTATGAGAAAAGTAAGAGCTCTGGGTCCAAATGTTTAAAACATGGCTCTTCTGTGAACCACGGCAAATCTAAACTGGATTATGCCTTATGCTGGAGTCAGAACTTACTTGGTCCCTTGTTCTTTGCCCTCTGGCTCCCTGCATGCTGTTCAGGGGAAGTTACTGGCTTTTGAACTGGCGGTTTGAAAACGAAGGCATTTTTCTTTTAGGGAGAACAGTCTTTCAGTGATTTAAACAACAAGCCTTGTGATCAAAATAATTCATAAAGGAAAAGATTTATGAAGTGACTTCACTAGCACACAATGCATTTTAAAAACTTTGTTTTTTAAATAAATCTGTCAGTACAGAAGCCAAGACAACACATCTGAATGCAATATCAGTGGACACACCCTGAATCTCTTCTTCTTTGCTTGTCCAAGACTGTGGTAGAAAAGGGAAATGATTCTCTTTGTCTTTTCTTATTTAATATTATTATTAAAAATTTTTTAAAAATTCTAGTTCCATGAAAAGACTTTGAAAAATTGTGCCTACTTTTGTTTCCTGCAGGAAAACCTGCCTTGTAAAAATGTATTTTCCATTGACCACTTGTGCTTGTTTAAGAAAATAAAAAATAAATAAAGAACTCCAACTTATAATGAATACCTCTGGCATTAGGGAGCCTGTTCTAATCTCCCTTTATCAAGTTTGAGTGATAGTTCTGCTCAACGAGTATTGACAGGGCCGTCCTGTTTCTCAGGCTTTCGTTTCCCTCGGTTGGAGAAGGATACAGTGCATTTTCACATTCTCAAAGTCTGCAGTTGTTTTTATATAAGAAGCAATTTGCTTGGGTCACGTCAGGTCGAATGGGATGCCTGCCCAGCTCTTGGTTTTAAAGGAAAAACATACAGAAAGACACAAAAACACAGCAGTTTCCTTCATTAAATTCCACTCTACCTGCCATGGGCTTCTAGCCACAATGGAATTTCCCACCCTGGCCTAGCCTAGCCTAACTTTTATTTTTAGGGATTTTTTTTCCCCTTTAAATCTTATGAGCTTTCTTTCAAGTGAACTTTGAGGTAAGGATTATTAAATGATAGAGTAATTGCCTGGTTAAAAAAGAATCAGACATAAAAAACAAATGCCTAGTGACCTTCCATAATATCGCTGGATAACCACCCCCTGGATAACAGCCTTTCAAAAACTGTTCATAATCAGCACAACAAGACAGGTCATGTAATTTAAAATTAAAACCTGAATCATTTAATGAATAGGGATCAGCATTTTTTTCAATAGTACCCTCTTCTTACCTAATTGCATTGGATGAAGATAATTTTGGAGAAGAAAATGAATAAATGAAAACACAAGGAACTAGATAAATAGATGGGGCGGGTGGATGGGGGGTGGAGAGAGAGACAGCAAGTGAGAGAGAGAAGCTTTTGGACCTCTCTCTCCAAAAAGCCATTTATGCTTTTCCCCATTGCCTAGGGGCAACTGATTTAATCAGGATTGTTCATGTGGATTATCTAAACTATGAAAAGCAACAGGGAGCACTTCCCAAGAAATCCAGACTGGGTGTGCTGCAGAATACTTGGTTTGGGGCCTGGAGCTAAGTAGACTGTTCACATTGTACTCAGGGTCCTAAGAAAAGTGGCTCAGTGTCTCTGTAATTCTTTGTCCCTTTGATCTACCTCAACATTTGGTGTCTCTTGGCATTAGGAAAGCTCACGAAAATGACCCTGCCTAGTTAACAGATTCATAGTCTGGGCACACAAAAAAAGGGTAAGAAAGAAAAAAAGCTTTGGTAATGAGGGAGAGAAACGTACCTTCTTGCTATCTTTGCTGGGCATAAATAAAAATCGAAAGATGTGATTTTTGGAGATGTGAATCCCGTTCTTCCCATATTTAGTAATAGCCTTTTCAGAGCCAATTCAAGACCTTCTATCAACCACCTCTGTTAAACATATCAAGTTAGATTTCTCATTCATTATTTTCAAGCTGGATTTTGCATAATCTTCCTTCAAATGAAGAAGTTTACTTTTCGAACATGTCATTTGCTCTTAGCACTGTTGTTCTCCTTCACCCATTTTGGCTTCTTATCCTCAAATCCCTGATTCCTTATTAAAGTGGATTGTTAATGCAGCCATTCTTTAGCACCACAGCACATTTATAAATCAAAAATTAGTTTACTCTGCCTGGCTTCCAAAACCATTTGCTGCTTGAAACCATTTCATGAGTTTGTCTACTCATGTGAATAAATAAAAACTTGCCTATAATGTGACTTTGGGAAAGGAAAGAGCAACTATATGAAACGAATTCTACAGAGGCCAAAATTATTTTCACGAGTTTCATGGATTCAGCCCTTGCATGTGCCATTCTACATTAACTTTATCTCTGAGATTAGGATTTTGCTTCTCTTTTTTTTTTTAATTATACTTTAAGTTTTAGGCTACATGTGCACATTGTGCAGGTTAGTTACATATGTATACATGTGCCATGCTGGTGCACTGCACCCACTAACTCGTCATCTAGCCTTAGGTATATCTCCCAATGCTATCCCTCCCCCCTCCCCCCACCCCACCACAGTCCCCAGAGTGTGGTATTCCCCTTCATGTGTCCATGTGATCTCATTGTTCAATTCCCACCTATGAGTGAGAATATACGGTGTTTGGTTTTTTGTTCTTGCGATAGTTTACTGAGAATGATGATTTCCAATTTCATCCATGTCCCTACAAAGGATACGAACTCATCATTTTTTATGGCTGCATAGTATTCCATGGTGTATATATGCCACATTTTCTTAATCCAGTCTATCATTGTTGGACATTTGGGTTGGTTCCAAGTCTTTGCTATTGTGAATAATGCCGCAATAAACATACATGTGCATGTGTCTTTATAGCAGCATGATTTATAGTCCTTTGGGTATATACCCAGTAATGGGATGGCTGGGTCAAATGGTATTTCTAGTTCTAGATCCCTGAGGAATCGCCACACTCACTTCCACAATGGTTGAACTAGTTTACAGTCCCACCAACAGTGTAAAAGTGTTCCTATTTCTCCACATCCTCTCCAGCACCTGTTGTTTCCTGACTTTTTAATGATTGCCATTCTAACTGGTGTGAGATGATATCTCATAGTGGTTTTGATTTGCATTTCTCTGATGGCCAGTGATGATGAGCATTTTTTCATGTGTTTTTTGGCTGCATAAATGTCTTCTTTTGAGAAGTGTCTGTTCATGTCCTTCGCCCACTTTTTGATGGGGTTGTTTGTTTTTTTCTTGTAAATTTGTTTGAGTTCATTGTAGATTCTGGATATTAGCCATGAGTAGGTTGTGAAAATTTTCTCCCATGTTGTAGGTTGCCTGTTCACTCTGATGGTAGTTTCTTTTGCTGTGCAGAAGCTCTTTAGTTTAATCTACGTCTGATTGGTGTACCTGAAAGTGATGTGGAGAATGGAACCAAGTTGGAAAACACTCTGCAGGATATTATCCAGGAGAACTTCCCCAATCTAGCAAGGCAGGCCAACGTTCAGATTCAGGAAATACAGAGAACGCCACAAAGATACTCCTCGAGAAGAGCAACTCCAAGACACACAATTGTCAGATTCACCAAAGTTGAAATGAAGGAAAAAATGTTAAGGGCAGCCAGAGAGAAAGGTCGGGTTACCCTCAAAGGGAAGCCCATCAGACTAACAGCGGATCTCTCGGCAGAAACCCTACAAGCCAGAAGAGAGTGGGGGCCAATATTCAACATTCTTAAAGAAAAGAATTTTCAACCCAGAATTTCATATCCAGCCAAACTATGCTTCATAAGTGAAGGAGAAATAAAATACTTTACAGACAAGCAAATGCTGAGAGATTTTGTCACCACCAAGCCTGCCCTAAAAGAGCTCCTGAAGGAAGCGCTAAACATGGAAAGGAACAACCGGTACCAGCCGCTGCAAAATCATGCCAAAATGTAAAGACCATCGAGACTAGGAAGAAACTGCATCAACTAACGAGCAAAATCACCAGCTAACATCATAATGACAGGATCAAATCCACACATAACAATATTAACTTTAAATGTAAATGGACTAAATTCTCCAATTAAAAGACACAGACTGGCAAGTTGGATAAAGAGTCAAGACCCATCAGTGTGCTATATTCAGGAAACCCATCTCACGTGCAGAGACACACATAGGCTCAAAATAAAAGGATGGAGGAAGATCTACCAAGCAAATGGAAAACTAAAAAAGGCAGGGGTTGCAATCCTAGTCTCTGATAAAACAGACTTTAAACCAACAAAGATCAAAAGAGATAAAGAAGGCCATTACATAATGGTAAAGGGATCAATTCAACAAGAGGAGCTAACTATCCTAAATATATATGCACCCAATACAGGAGCACCCAGATTCATAAAGCAAGTCCTGAGTGACCTACAAAGAGACTTAGACTCCCACACATTAATAATGGGAGACTTTAACACCCCACTGTCAACATTAGACAGATCAACGAGACAGGATTTTGCTTCTTAAGTAGATGTCATTTTTCTCCAGTAAAACCAAGTGGTTTACCCTGACATTTAGTAGTAATTTAGTGATTTCAGAGTTCCTTCTAAATCTAAAGTAAATGTTCATGAGACTCATGAACTTGTATCTAGACAATTAATCTGAGCATTTTAAGACTTCCCTGAGGCTACATATAATCTCTCACAACCCCTTGCAAAACCTGAGATTTTGAACCACTGTCAAGTTTGTGGTTGCCCTGGTAAGGAGTAAAGCAAAATCATTACTTATGGCAACTACCACACAAACATTGTAGTGAACTGAAGTATAAGAAAATCACTACTATACTTTAGACAGAACATTAGGATTAATGCTGGTAACCAAGGAACTAAGAGCCTGTAAATATAACTGGCTTAAGAAGGAGAACAGGATTAAACAATATTGGAGTTTAGAAACAAAAGTAGTACTGTATCAACCTGTCACTATGCAGCCAGTCATTACAATAAAACTAACCAAAGGATGGCGGCAGAAAGAAATAAAAGTATTTTTGTGTACAATTCTTCTTGAAGCACTACTTGAATTGCATCTGTAGGGAACAGGTCTCATAGGTCTATTATTTGCCCACCTCCCCAACACACACACACACACACACACACGTACTAGCCTAGGCCGATATCTACTGTGGTAAGTTTGCATCTGTGAGCCACTGAGCAGCTGCTTTATATATGCAGCATAGGATGAAAGAGAGAAAACTGGGGTACTCATGGTTTTTGTGTAATATCACAAAGAAAAGAAAACAAAAAAAGGCTTAGAGAAAGTTAAAGGAAAATGGGCAGTGGTACATATACAGAACAAGTTAGGATTCCCTAGGAACTGGTAATAGGACTAAACTTGCTTAACATCTATCAAAATGACTTACTTATTCCAGGGTCTTGCATATACATAGCAGAAGCACAATTAATTTTTGCTGAATGAATAATCTGGAACAAGGAATGTAAAATAAATTATCCAAAAATGTTGATGGAATGAAACTTTTCTGAGCAAGGAAAAGCTAAACTGATGGAACACAATATTTATCCAGGTGTGCAGAAAGGTGCCAGTGCAAATAGAGAAAAACAAAATATTCAAATACAGTCGTTTGCCGTGTAATGACATTTTGGTCAACAATGAACCACATATATCTATACCATGGTGGTCCCATAGATTATAATACTGTATTTTTGCTGTACCTTTTCTATGTTTAGATATGTTTACATATGTAAATACTTACCATCTACTCTGTTACAATTGCCTACAGTATTCAGTTCAGTAACATACTGTACAGGTTTATAAGGTTTATGGCCTAGGAGCAATAAGTTATACTATATAGCCTATATGTTAGTAGTATATACCATCTAGGTTTGTTTAAGTACACTCTATGATGTTTCCACAATGATGAAATTGCCTAAGGATGCATTTCTCAGATTGTATCCCCATCATCAAGTGATGCATGTCTAGTTTAATTATAAGTCTTACCTAGGAAAGGGACTTAAAGGCTATGAGCTCTTTCAGGCAAAAAGGCCTTCAAAATTTTGGCACTCATTAAGTAAAGTAATGAAAATAAGGTTTATAATTCCCTTATATTAAACCCTCTGCAATTATGTGAAACTATCTGTACTTCAAATGCCATGTTCCTATAACATAACAACTCAGGGTGTCTTACACAGGACAGTCATTAAAGAGTTTAAGGTAGATTAAAATAATCTGCATTAGTAGAGAACAAATTATTTTGCGGTATTATAACAATTCATTGAACATGAGAAAAAGCAAACAAACACGCTTGTTAATAAATGTTACTTAACAGACATCACACTGACATTTCTTAGTGACTGACTGCCATGGAAGCTTTCTAATAAGTCTAATTTTTCCCACGCTCTGAGTTTATAAGATAGCAATATTGTAGCTTTGGGTGTTTACCTTTGTTTATTTATTGGGCGGAGTTTTATTGCGTGCCTCCTCCAGCTGTGCCAATCTGGTAAGATCAAATGGAATCCTTTAGCTATTGTCACTATCCTAAATGGACCGCATGCTTCCTTTGTCCCTTGCATTCTCTGATTTTCGCTGGGGGTTATCTATCATGGCTGTACATCCAAGTCTCTAATCTATCTCCTTTCTCATCCGTTTTTCCTGACTTATTTCCCTTTTCCCTTTGTCTATTTCCCTGTGAGAAGCCAAAAGACTGTATAGTTCTTAGTAGCGGTAGTAGTGCTATCTAGAGTTGGCATCCAACAGCACCAGTGTTATAATACACTTTCTACAATCAAGAAATGATTTGATTTCCTTGCCTCAGTAGAAATTTTACAAGTTAACAGTGGTTCACCTGATATAAACCATAATATTTCTATCATATCATGAAAGAATTCTAAAAAATCTGTTAGACTTTCTTCTACAAGTTTGCCTATTTCCTCTGAATACAGTTAATTCACCTGGCAACAAAGGAGATTAGCTATTTCTTTTTGTATGCAGACAGAAAGAAGTGTGATCTTTCTTTGCCAATAAAAACTTCTAGTAAGTGGTGATAGACTTCAAAACCCTTCTTTTTATTTGAAAATCATGGTTCAGTTATCAGGAATTCCAAATTCAGAATCTAAGAACAGTGATCCTATATAGTCTTGTGATTTTGCACATGCTAGGGATTGGTAAGTTGCTGAAGACTTCTTAAATAAGAGAGGAAGCATTTTTCTTTTCACTTGCAAAGAACCAGGAGGTACATTAAAAGAGGTTTTAGAGTAACTAGAATGTGTGATAAACTGTTCACTTTCTGTTTTAAAACTGTCCATGAGGTTCCCTTTAGAGATAGGACAGACTACAGAGAACGTGGTGTCTCGTTTCTATGGGTTGAAATTCCACAGAACAATGCTTTGCAAAGAGTCATACCACCAGTTCCTTTTCCTGTGAGATGCAAATACTAAAAACAGATATGGGCTGGACAAGATTATTTTAAAAATAGATAGAAGGCAATAAAAGCTTTGGTGATATTCTAGATTACATATGAAATGTGTAAAAGCGTAAAATGAAAAGTTCTCTACTTTTTAAAAGCTGCATCAAAATTTCCTTCCTACACTGTAATCGTGCCCCTTAACCCATCTATGCCTGAGGTTGCAATTTCTTTGAATTTCTGCAATCAGACCATGGCGATGACCTTGAGCAGTAGGATATAAATAACTCCTCCATGCTTAGCGTTCCAATAATGGAACACTAGGCATAAATGGGATAAAACACAAATTGCTAGGTTCATGATAAACAGAGCACATCTGTAAACAAAATAACTTTTAAAAAATATGCCTACATATATAATTTTATTACTTCTAGAAACACAAGTGTTATTAGACTTAAAGAGAGCCAGTGAATTGAATCAACTTATTCTGATATGAACCTCAATGTGATCTGATTGCAGGCTGCAATGATTAACACGTTTTAAAAGAAATGGGTCCATACTATACTTTCCAACTGCCCACCCTTCTGTTCTTCTTATGCTACAGATTTATGGCAGCCTAACCTCCAGCCAACAAGTTAGAGAATTGGGTAAGACATCATTTTGGCTTTTTAAGAAAATTATGGATAATCAAAAAACATGACACAAAAGATTTAGTGGCTATTATCAGGGTATAAACTAATAACTAAAGGCATTTATGTGTTAGGTAATAATGATGCTTAGAAAATTATAAATATCAAGATGCTCTTTCAACAACTATATTCCAGATTTAGGAATTTTGTAGAGGATATGGCATAAGAGTGTTAAGAAATGTATACTTTTTTGAAAATAAAATAAAGTCTGATTTATTTATTATCCAAGTTCCTGTGTTTTCTGGGAAAAATGTATTAATGAGAGGTAGCATTATTTGATAGTTAATGGAGAGTGGAAATCATCTGTTACAGGCCCACATGCTCACAAGCAAAATAATATTCTCTCAATCCTCAAATGGAAATGGGGATTATAAAATGCTATAAGACTCTGTCAACATTTCTGATAAATTCCATGAAAATTTTGTGTTACATATTTTAAAAATTGTGTACTATGATTATAACATAGTTGATTATTAAATATGTAATCCTTTCTTTCAGATTATTCTTCTTCCTTAAATGTAAAGGGTATATTATTTTCTTGATTTATTCTTTTGGATAAATATCCTGTACATAGATGTCTGAAATCCAGCCCGTCAGTTTCCCTTTAAATTCTAGCATATTTTAAAGGACCTTAAAAGATGACTGTGGAGTACTGCCTGATTTGGAACTTGCCTCTGTCTCTTACACACTGTATGACGTTGGGCAAGCCACTTAACTTCTCAGTACTTCAGTTTCATCATCAGTCAGAACAGCACAATAATAGTACCCTGCTCCTATGGTTACTATGAGGATTAGTGGGTTTCATACTGTCAATAATAAGTTGCCTTTCTGGGTCTTTGAAGTACTTGAAATCAGGTTAATTAAATTAAGCAGAGCTTTGGTCCCTTTGTTTGACAAGTAATCTCCAATTTTCATTTCCAGGTTCTGATCCCCTAAAATCAGTGGAATAAAACCTTGTTTGTGTAACTGCCATCTTCCTGCCCCAAAGCCAAGATTAATTTACCTGTTGGTTTTAGTTTTCACTAGGTCTCTCTTTAGCTAGGTGCTTCTAAGGGTAAAATATCAACTATTAAACTATTTGAGGCAGGAGATGTTGAAAGGGGAATTTAATTGTTAAGTCAATAGCAGTGTGCCAGCTTAGTCTGCCTTTCAGAAAGATCACCATAGTAATAACGAGACCAATAAATAAATAAAAAGTATAAAATATACATCTATGCAGAATCTTAGAACCCTTTCTCTAACACATAAGTCATTAAAGGAAGCTCTGAGGTCTGCCTATGTGATTCAACATTTACACACATCATAGTTCTATGGAAGAAATTCTCAGTTGAGAGCTACCAGCTTTCTTCAGATCGGATCAGATTTTTCTATACTCCATTATAAACAACAAAAACAAAAGCAAACAAGTGAACAACAACAACAAAACTGTAGTTGTGGTTCACTCCAGTAATATATACTACCAATTCAGTGGTTCTTAACTGGGGGACAATTTTGCCACCCCCTTCCCCACCAGGGGAGAACTGGCAACATCTGGAGACAATTTTGATAATCCAAACTGAGGGGTGCTCCAATGGGGAGAGGTCAGAAATACCACTAAACATCCTACAGTGCACAGAACAGACATCTACCCTGCATCCCGGCAAAGAATTATCTACTCCAAAGTATCATAGTGCCACTGTTGAAAAACCCTGTGCTAAACTAACATCTGAGAGCCACTGGCCTTAAACCATCAGCCACATCAACACGTAAGACACTCAGCCTATGGGATAGTCTAACAGTTAAAGAAGACACCTTAGAGGGAACTACTTCAAAAATATATAAACTGACAAATCTGGATACCATACTAAGGAAAAAACTGGTAAAACAGGTAGTTGTTTGAAAGCTTCTTATGCCCATTATTATAAACCAATAATTTTAGATTACTGAACCAACCAGACTAATATTCCCTTTGAATTCCAGGAGGTATAAAAATATGAAGTCATCGACTATGCAACATTATCCTGCTATGGAGACATTCTGAAATGGTTTATAAAAGCAGTGAACACATTAAAAAAAAAAAAACTAGCCCAAATGAGTTATGCAAAGTTAAAGTCATTTTTTCTAGGACCAGTTTTTTTTCCTGTGCATAGTATTTTCCATATGTACCGCAAACATTCATTTGTGCAGAACATAGCACCACATTTCTAATACAACTCCTCTCTGAAGACAAATCAGGCTAAAGCTAAGAGTTGCAGAACCATTTCTGTATGAGTCATTTTTAGCACAACATAAGCCCTAGAGTAAAATTTATTTTCTAAATAAGCCACAATTATTCTGCAAACATTTAACCTAGCACCTCTCAACTGTTAAAGAATGTCAATTATATATGAAAGGAAGAACAAATATAAAGGAAATTTGAAAATCAAGAAAATTTTTTCTGAGAAAAGTTTGTGAGAATTATTATGAATACAGCTAAAATTCAAATATGTGACATTTTATTTTTTTAAGGGTTTCCCTGTCAAAGACAACACATATTTTTCTAATGAAAGAGGATGCCTGAAGTTGACATTCATAAGAGCATTTGGATACTACCAATGTGAAGTTGTACAGATTTACTCATTTCTGCAATTACCCTCTTGTGTTTGAATTCTACTTTGGTTAGTGGTAGCAAGCACTAAACTGTACTGAGGGCTTCGCAAAAGTTGACTTTATTTCTTTACACTTAGAACCCCAAAAATTTACTTCCTAGGAAGATACTAGGGAATCATATCTTACTGAGGAGGAAATAAGAGGTGGAATAACTGGATTAGCCTCACAAAGAATGAAAGCTCAGTAATTTCTGAGTTGGCAATATTTTTCACCCTCCTTTTCTCCATTTAAATTTCTAGATTTACCTTCAAAACACTTGCCTTTTTCTACCTTAAGGGAAGTTCTAGGATCAGGGAGATGGAGATAGAGAAGGTAGAGATAGTTTTAGGTTTTCACAGAAGTTCAATTAAAAACTGCCAAGTACCTCCTACCAAGAGACCACCACTAAAATTTATTTCTAGAACAAGGTGCAGAAAAATAAAAGGTAGAAAGCAGGAATGTTCTGGTACTGTAAAATATTTGGGGAAAAAGTCTAATTTCTGTTCTCAAAATGGTTACTATCTTGCTCTAGAGAAAAACATAAACCCTCTTAAAATAACTGAAGAACAATAAGAAACAGTATAATTAAGTGTAAAAATGGGTGGTAGAAGCAAAATGCTGTGGGGCACCCATGTGTCTTACATCTTTCCAACACAGAGAAAAGAGACAATGGGTCAAATGCAGCCTACTCTAGTCTCTGATATTAGTTTCATTACACAGCTATAATCCCATTACAAAGAACTTGAAGGAACTGTTGACATTTTTTGCTGCCCTGGAGTTTATTGTCTCAAGTATTGCTTGAAATACCAGGGTACATGCAGAGATGTCTGCTCTAATGGTATTTGTTGACCTACATTATGTTAGGGTTAGCCTGAATAAATGGAGAGGAACGCTACATGGAATCAGTTAGTTAGATTGTTTGTAAGTAGGCGTGCATTATTTTTACCATGTTTTATTATTTTTAACCTAAAGACTACGCATTTAAAGTAGGGTATTATCTGTAAGTAATCTTGTTGTTATATGAAACAGTAATATTTATTAAAAGTGCTTTTGTAAAGCCCAAAAAGGGGATCTGCAGAGGCAGATTTACTGCATATTTAATGGAGCTTAAACCTCAGGGACCTTCACTTGCGCAGCCCCCCTTCCAAGGTCCTGTACTTAACTCTGTAATCATAATTTTGTATTCTTTTTCTTCAAGAGGACCCCCCAAATAGTTTAAGCTTCTGGTAAAATCTTGATCTAGCCTAGGTATAAAATAATCTTGAAGGGATCCAAACTGATAGTTCTAAAAGGCTGATGCTGAGAAAGATACAAAATGTGCTTTTACAAGGATATCATATCAATTATATTTTCCAAATGTATCTCTCTTATTGTTGTCGCTCCCCCTTCCCTGCCAATAAATAAATGCCATTTTTTTTTTTTACCTCACTGTTAAAAGGTTATTAGACCCTTTTAAATAAGATCGGTCTGTTCAGTGACTGGGAATAACCAGAGTGTTAAAAAAAAGATGAAAAATTCAGAGGCAGAAGATAATTTCCAAGAATGAAAAGATATCTTAGAGAGACTCACAAAATGTTTCACTAAAACAGCAATAATTATTATCCATACCTAAGGAGTACATGCATTTGAGAAAAGGAAGGGCATGGAAAGTCTCTCAATACAATTTACAGTAGTACCTACTGAAAACTGTGCTGAGTTTACACAGAGTGTGGGAATTTTTACCACCAGTAACACCACGTGTCTGTTTTTCTGGTTTCTGAAAACCCCAAATAAATCCCACAAGCGCCTCTAAACTCCACCATGGAATTCTCACACTTCTGAGTAAGAAGTTCAGAACAGAATAAAAACTTTGGATGCAGTATGTCTGTCTATAGTTTTTCCTATAATGCCTTGTCCCAGTTTTTGAAGAAAACTGAATAAAAATTAATTCAAGAAAAAAAATGAATGAAATTACCTCAAATGGAATATTAAATTGAAAAATAATAGTCAAATTGCTCATAACCACTTCCTGTTAATTTTTTTTCTCTTTTAGAAATGGAGTAAGAATGCTTCAAATAAAAAACGTAAAACCCATCCCATCCCATAAAGGGCCCACTCACGTAAACAGGAAGCTTATTAAAAGAACTTTTCTTGGTTTCCTGGCAAAATCCAGCTTTTATTTTGGTGGCAGCATCTATTAAGGAGGAGACTCATTTTGTGGGCAGGATGAAAAATTAAACATTGCAAATCCATCAGGTACTTGCTGGATTAGAGTTAGTTGACTGACTTGTTGGCTACAGGGAACAAGGTAGTTCTGAAACCAAGGAACAAGCTGCCAAGGAACAGTCCAGCCCTGCCCAAAAGATGATGGTCTTCTCCATCCAGGCAGCACAAATCAACTCGAGGTTCCAAGAGGGCCAGTAGACGCCAGCCTACCTTACTGTAAAGTGTCTCACATGCATATCTAACTGTTCTCTCCTTTCCTTTACATTTAAATCCTGTTGTATTGGCTTCTCTGTTTTCCCTTTCCTGGAAGCGCTGTAGCGTAATTAAAAGAGTATGAGTTTTGGAATTTCAAAACTTGGTTTATAGTCCAGCCTCTGCCAAATACTGTGACATGTTACCTGCTTGAGCCATCATTTTCTGATATGTAGATTGGGACTAACAATTCTTCCTTAATCAGCTCAAGTTTCACAAAATATGGGTAAACATCACGTGACTCAAAATCAACTGAGGCAAAAATTCAGATGTCAATGGCCCTTTCTTGACTTATTAGAACCTCCATGAGCTAGAAATTCTTGGAATCTGAATTTTAAACTCACTCCCAAGTGATTTCCATACACACAGAAGTTTGAGAACCACATCCCACCTTGTCTTGTGTCAGGATTAAATAAAACCATATAGGTGAAACTTATCTGTAAATTGCATATCAAGACATGCTTAGCTGCTCTCAATAGTATCATTTTCCAGATAGCCCAAAGCACCAAAGTAAGGACAGCGGGCCATTTTCCCAAGATCTTTCTTCCAGCTTTTCCCTGCCATGCCAACAGCATTCTTCATCTTCAGGTAGGCAGGGCAGGTTCACTGGGGGTTGGGGTAGAGCTCAGCACTGTGACACAGGCAGTACTTCCGTAGAATTTCATTTATGTGACTGTACCTACCCCACAGGGTGATATAAGGATTAATTCCTATTTGGTAATTTACTGTGTGTAAAATGCCTTGAGCCCCTTGGAGGAAAGTGCTATATAAATGTAAAATAATTATTATAATAATAATAACCTCGACTATTTAACTGATCAGTGAATTAGCCAGAAGATTTAGGCTGCCAAGGGACAAGGCTGAAACCATTATAAGTAGAAACACTTTACATCATCATATCTCAAACTGTTATCACGAAAAAGGGAAACAAAGGGTGAAAATTAAGATAAATCCATGTTCTCAACTGATTTAAATGACAGAGGATCACTAGTAATGATTCATGAAAGCCAGGAAATGCAAAAATGACAGCTGCATTGTAATTCTAACTCAGCCACATGTCCTGAGGTTTTGTACACTTTGGTCTTTTATTTGTAGGGAAAATATCTCATCAGTGCAACATCTAAAATTTAGCATTATGAAGGCACTTGACTATGCTTTTGCTTAGTTGAAATACGTTCATAATGTATCCCCTATTTGTAGGTAATGATTTTTCTACCTAAAAAGCATTGACATTATTCTATGAAGTTCCAGGTAAATTTTGAATCGGTTGCTTACAATCTGCCTCCCCACATACACACCCTAAGAATACACTCTAACAAAACAATGGTGTATTTCTAGATCTAAATTTAGGAAACCAAAATATATAGAAGATACCTTTTCTTCCCAGGAAGAAAATGCTTTGGTATATAAACTCACATGAGCTCAACCGTCTTCAGCTCTTACATTATTTGTTTTATTTATTTATTAGATTCATGAAGATTCTTCTACCAAAAGCTCAAGGGGCTGAACCCAGAACTTTCATATATTGAATGTGAATCACTTCTTAAACCACAGAAAGGAAAATAAAGGGCTATAGAAATCTTAATGGGCAAGCTCCAGATGCTCAAAAGCAATTGTTTAGTTACTCTACTTAGTTATGCATCATTCAAAACACTTTCTAACAATCGGGCAAGAAAGGTTCCTTTGTGAAGAACAGGCTTTGGGGTCTTGGACAAGTTTTAATTCTAGTTGTTTTATAGCTCATACAAAATAGTTGTGGTGCATATGTAAAGAGGTACTGTACTTACATGCAATAAAGTTTGCAGATGAATATTTTGAAAATCAAAGAAAAGAAAACAAGGGGAGGAATGAGCATGTGGTACCTTGCTCTATTTTTAATTATTAACTTGTAGCCTCAAAGATTTCCATTTAGTAGAAACACATGTAAACTACAATGAAGGAGTACTAGAAAATAAAGTCAATTGGTATAACTCAAATTATTTTGTAAAATGTGAAATTAAGCTTTAACCTGTCTATGTGGAAGGGTGATGAATAAATGAATGAATGAAGTAAAAAATCAAAGATACAGAGTTGTAACTGATTTTCTTTGCATGAAGTAGTAAATATTAATATTAGAAATATCTTTTGATTTAGATAAAACTGGCCTTGGGTATATAATACACAACACTGAAAAACATTTCAAATGTGGTATTTGTTTAAATATATACATACATAAACACACACATACACACACAAGTCAAAAATATGGGTGTTCTGGTATAGTTTTCTGCCTTCAAAGGGTCTCTGGAAAAAACAGAAGAAAAGGTATCCTATAAACTGCTTTTGCTGAGGTCTCTAGTAGAGAGCAAATCGAGGCAAGTGCTGCCCAAAATAATCTCTATTACAAACATTTAAAAAATCTATCTTTCATATATATATATGAATATATATTATATATATTATATATATACACAATATTTTTAATTTTTAATTTTATTTTATTTGCTGTATAGCTAACAGCATAGCCAATGCCCTGATCTTCTAGCCACACTGTAATTTCTTGTCCTTGCATCACAACCCCAGCTGTAGTCATCAAAGTGGAAAAACTGACAGCATTGTCTGAAAGACACAGCTTGGGAAAATTGCTCCTTGTAGCTCCCCTGTCAATGAATATTATCATATTTTTCTCATGGATAAGGTTACTGTGTTTTTTTTGCTGGGCCGGGGGTGGGGAGGCTTCTACATACTTAGCTACTAAGCACATTACCATTCCGTTTGTGGAATGGACTAAACGTGACAATGCGAGCTGTAGGGTTAGCATTCCCAACATTCTGTTTTAAAGTTTTTGTGTGTATATCTTCAAAAATAATATTCCTTTATGTATTCAGAAGAAGTAAAATCACAATTATATTTTACTTGACATTACTATTTTCTTAAGGAGGCTAACAGAAAAATCAATGGGTGGGCATAAAGAGAAAGAAATCATATGAGGCTACCACACATATTCTGTTACTGAATTTCTTTCACCTAAATATACAATGGAATGCTCTGAATTGTATGTTTTCTTTTCCCATCATATTAAACTAAAGCAAAGTTCTTGGGCTGAAAGTAGAAAAACTGCACTTTAGTGTTCTAATGATCCACACCTTTCACATATTCACTTCGCTTACAATTCTAGATGCTAACTCAATAAGAAAGAAAGAAACAAATTCAGAGTATTTCAGTCACCAACAACAACAGCAGTAACAATAACAATAATATTAATATCAGTTAATATTTATTTAACTCTTAGATATACTAGATGCCATTGTAATCACATGTATTAACTCGCTAAATCTTCACAACTCTACCAGAGAGTACTGTTATTACTCCGATTTTATTGGTGAGGAAATAGAGGCACAGAGAGATCAGAAACTTGCCCAAGATCACACAGTCAGTAAGTAGAGGAGTCAGGATTCAAACCTAGGAAGCCAGACTCTGTTACAGGATGAATATTTTGGTTGCTAAAGGCCCCATCTTCCTTACTTCTCCTGATCCTCTTCCCCAACTGATCAGCTTGCAGCATTCATTTGATCTTCTCAACAAATTACGTATTCATTTGCACACCGTCCATTTAGAATAACACAGTAGTTAAAAACTTAGGCTCTGGAGTCTAATATGAGGGTTTACTGCCACATATTGGTAGTGCTTAACTTTTCTGTGCCTCAGTTTCCTTCTGTATAAAGTAGTAATAATAAAAGCAATTTCATGTATTTGTTGTGAGGGTTAAATGAGATAATGTATGTTGGAGCTCAATGGAAGGTCAATGTTCTATAAACATTAAGTTCATTATTATTGATTTTTATCTCTTAATAAATAGAATCCCTTTTTCCAATTAGATTGTTTTTCAGAAAAATTGTGAATATGAATCTTTTTTGTCTCGTGTAGGGGTTCCCAAATGTTCAGTATGTTGAACTCTTAGATGTCCTAGGTACTACTGAAATCACGTGTATTAACATTCATAACAACTCTGTCAGGTAATACTTACATTTACCCATAATATTATAAATGATATAATATACCAATGTCTAAAATTTAGTGAGAACTTACTCACTGGACAAGTGCATTATGGCATTATCTCATTCTCCCTCTAAGCCTCTGAACTAGGGGATTTTTTTTTTTTTTTTTTTTTGGAGATGGAGTGTCACTCTGTCGCCAGGCTGGAGTGCAGTGGCACGATCTGGGCTCACTGCAATGTCCGACTCCCTGGTTCAAGCGATTCTCCTGCCTCAGCCTCCTGAGTAGCTGGGATTACAGGTGTGCAACACCACGCCCAGCTAATTTTTGTATCTTTAGTAGAGACGGGGTTTCACCCTGTTGGCCAGGATGGTCTTGATCTCCTGACCTCGTGATGCCTGCCTCGGCCTCCCAAAGTGCTGGGATTACAGGTGTGAGCCACTGTGCCCAGCCAACTAGGGGATTTTTATAATCTCAAGTTTATGCAGGAGGAAACAGAAGCTCACCTCGGTCATCAGCTGGTAAATGTTCACAAATGTAAATTCTTAACCACAATGCCATACTACCTGCTAAAAAATGAATTTAAGGTAGATCTTTAGTAAATATATTTGGTCTTGATGATGAATCAATTGAATTCTTTATTTCTGTTACCAGAAACCTTGCACTTAACAATAAACTAATGTGGCCTTGACCAGCAGCCGCCAGTCCCCAGGCTTCAGACACTGGTACCTGTTAGGAACTTAGCTGTACGGGAGGAGATGAACAGTGGACAAGCAAGCATTACTGCCTGAGCTCTGCCTACTGTCAGATCAGCAGCAGCATTAGATTCTCATTGGAGCACAAACCCTACTGTGAACTGTGTATGCGAGGGATTGAGTCTGCACACTCCTTATGAGAATCTAATGCCTGATGATCTGAGGTGGAACAGTTTCATCCTGAAACCATCCCCACACCTCCAGTCCATGGAAACATTGTCTTCCATGAAACTGGTCCCTGGTGGCAAAAACGTTGGTGGCTGCTGGCCCAGACAATATCACTCATTCTGTTAACTATTGAAAAGAGATGACTGTATGTCAGGTACATGCCAAATACTGGAAATTTGAAAAATATATATATATACATTGTGGGTCTAAAACTGTATCATTAAAAGCAGCTAATGATTTAATATCATTTCATTTACTATCATTTTCTGTTTACTCTTACAAAAATCAAACTTCTTCCTCTCCCCTTCCTCTCTCTGCCTACTCTTTCTTATTCCTTCTTTTAAATCAAAGTTTTACAGTATTAACCTTACAAAGATTTTTGCCCATAAGAAGGTTATATGTTAAGGCAAGGAACTGTTTTAATTATATTTACTCTTCATTTTGAGTATATTTCTTTTTCATACCTGACAAAGACTTTTGAAATGACTAAAGAAAGGCAAAGCAATCTGATTCTTTATAAAAAAATCTTTCATATGCAATCTTTTGTCTGTAGTATTCTCATAATAGCTTAGAAATTTTAAAAGAAGGTTTTAGCTGGTTTTGTTCTTTTCAAATTGGCAGAATTTGATTTTTTTCCTCTTCACATTTGGATTCACTTTAAAAATCAACAAACAAGAAAATAAAAACATATTCAATTTAAAAAATATGCTCTCCATTGGTGCCTTGGCATCATCAACCAATATCAGCATCACTCTGAAAACCATTTCTATTCTGTTTTTAAAAAAAAGAGTTTTAAAATGCACACATAAAATGCACTTAAAATTGATCCTACTGTATTAAGGAGAGAGAAAATTTAAGGGCAATGGAGAGCTTTGCTGTAACCAACTCTTCAGTCAACTATAGGATATTGTTAATACTGCCTTCACCTCCACACTGAAGATATAGGTACCATTTTGACTGTGCTTTTGAACAATATATAGCTAAAGATTTGAAGTGAGTAACTTCAAAGTCAGTAGTTTTCATGTATACGTCGCAGAATCACTGCATCTTATGTATGACTTTAAGTTGTATTAAGCTGATAATTTCAAAAAGAGAGACTTTCAATGAAAGAAAATTCCTGAAATTTGGTCATTAAATGGTTCGAGTACGTAGAATTACTTACAATGTAATGCCAAAGAAAGGTATATTGTATTTATCCAGAAAGCACGAGCATAAGAATGACCTCAGAAAGTTATTATAATTTATTACTTCATTAAAGATACATTTCTAGTCCATCTATTATGTGCTAGGCCTTATAATAGACAACAAAAATGCAAAGAACAACAAATGTGATCTGAAAAGTAGTAAAGGTTAGGGAAGATGGGACTAGTAAGAGAGAACAGAAGTAAGAAAATAAAGTGATTATAATTGTAACTGCCATGAGCTGAGGGCATATCATGCATTGAGGTAAGGTCCTAGGTGCTTAATATGAACAAGCCCTGCAAGACAGGTATCATAATCTTTGTCTCACAGGTGGTGTTGGGAAAACTGGCTAGTCATATGCAGAAAAATGAAACTGGACCCCTTCCTTACACCTTATACAAAAATTAATTCAAGATGGATTAAAGACTTAAATGTAAGACCTAAAACCATAAAAACCCTAGAAGAAAACCTAGGCAATACCATTCAGGACACAGGCATGGGCAAAGACTTCATGACTAAAACACCAAAGGCAATGGCAACAAAAACCCAAAATTGACAAATGGGATCTAATTAAACTAAAGAGCTCCTGCACAGCAAAAGAAACTATCATCAGAGTAAACAGGCAACCTACAAAATGGGAGAAAATGTTTGCCATCTATCCATGTGACAAAGGGCTAATATCTAGAATCTACAAGGAACTTAAACAAATTTACAAGAATAAAACAAATAACCCCATCAAAAAGTGGGCAAAGATATGAACAGACACGTCTCAAAAGAAGATAATTATGCGGCCAAAAAACATATGAAAAAAACCTCATCATCACTGGTCAATAGAGAAATGCAAATCAAAATCACAATAAGATACTATCTCACGCCAGTTAGAATGGCAATCATTAAAAAGTCAGGAAACAACAGATGCTGGAAAGGATGGGGAGAAATAGGAATGCTTTTACACTGTTTGTGGGAATGTAAATATAGTTCAATGATTGTGGAAGATAGTGTGGTGATTCCTCAAGGATCTAGAATCAGAAATACCATTTGACCCAGCAATCCCATTACTGGGTATATACCCAAAAAAATTATAAATCATTCTACTATAAAGACTCATGCACACATATGTTTATTGCAGCACTATTCACAATGTCAAAAACTTGGAACCGACCCAAATGCCCATCAATGATTGACTGGATAAAGAAAATGTAGCACATATACACATGGAATACTATGCAGCCATAAAAAAGGATGACATCATGTCCCTTGCAGGGACATGGATGAAGCTGGAAACCATCATTCTCAGCAAACTAACACAGGAACAGAAAACCAAACACCACATGTTCTCACTCATACATGGGAGCTGAACAATGAGAATACATGAACACAGCGAGGGGAACATTACACACCAGGGCCTATCTGGGGGTCTACGGCTAGGGGAGGGATAGCATTAGGACAAATACCTAATGTAGATGTTGGGTTGATGGGTGCAGCAAACCACCATGGCATGTGTATACCTATGTAATAAACCTGTATATTCTGCACATGTACCCCAGAACTTAAAGTATAACTTAAAAGTTTTTTTAAAAAATATGTGATAAAATAAAAAAAAGAATTAACCACAGTGCCTTGCCTATTCTTCTATAACAGTATCTATTTCACTCTATTTTATTTTGAAGCTATTTATCTCCAAGTTTCTTTCTAGAATCTAAACAGTTAACAGCCTGAGGGCATTGACCTTGACTCTTGTCTAAGTTTTACAAACAAACAAACCAAAAAGCACACTGCATTGATATACTTGGCCAAGTAATGATGTCCAAATGCTACAATGTCACAACCAGTGCTCAGTAACTATTAGATAAATAAGATAGAGTCATTCACTCAATCATTCACTCCTGCATGTTTCACTTAGTAATCTTGTACGCTCATTGAATAAATTAAAAGCTGCTTTATGAAAATGTTTTCTGTTAATTTGAATAAAAACCTTTACACATCAACTAGATACAAAAGAGAAATCTATTGTTTGACAATGATCGTTACTGAATCAAAAAACAGTGGGGCCATCTGCAGGGTACAGATCATGCTAGAGTCAGGGAAAACTGGTGATAAACTTCAGAAAGCCAAGAAATATACCAGCTTACAACTTAGCAGCACTGCCTCCACACAGTCTTCAGGTATTTATTGACTGTCTCACACTAATGCATGAGTGCCTGTGGTAATGGTAAAAGTATATAAATTTACTTGCCCAGAGATACTAATTGTTAAAACAAATACAACAATTTAATGGCAATGCAAGAGAAGACAGACTAACATTTACAAAGCTATTTCTTGTTTAGGCAAGATAGTAGACTCTAAACATATATTATCTCATTTAAATTATCATTTAAAAACCCTTAGATTGTTAGTATTTACCCATTTTAATTAAAAACATAACTGAGCGTATAATTTTTTTTTTTTTTTTTTTGAGACGGAGTCTCACTCCGTAACCCAGATTGCAGTGCAGTGGTGCGATCTTGGCTCACTGCAACCTCCGTCTCCCGGGTTTAAGCGATCCTTCTGCCTTAGCCTCCAAAGTAGCTGGGACTATTAGGCGTGTGCCACCACGCCCGGTTAATTTTTGTATTGTTAGTAGAGTTGGGGTTTTGCCATGTTGGCTAGGCTGGTCTCAAACTCCTGACTTCAGGTGATCCACCTCCCTTGGCCTCCCAAAGTGCTGGGATTACAGGCGTGAGCCACCACGCCCAGCCTGTAAATCTTGACAAAATTCCCAGAGGCAAAATTATTAGAAGGCTGGGAGCCAGGATTAAAAAACATAAAATCCTTGGCTTTTCCATTTATTTCACATTGCCTCTTCTTAGAATCCACTTCTACACCAAAGCAGTTAAAATCAATGTGGATTTGTATTTTAATAGAGGGTTTATGGAGTAGTGGGAAAGATAGCAAATAATAACTATGTTTATTGAATACTACTGTTCCTAACATTTTGAACCTATCCAATCATTTAATCCTACAACAATCTTTTGGAAGTGAGTGCTATTATTATTATTGCCACTTTGTAACAGAGAAACTAAGCCAAAAAGAAGATAAACATTTGAAAAGTCATAAAGCTAGTTAGCCGCTGTGCAGCTGAACTTGACAGCCTATAGCCCACAGAGTTTAACCATCATGCTATATTGCTTCATTAGGTTGAAAGGTTATTAAATGAAATGGCTTAAACAAAGTTCTAAGCACATGGCATGGCACAGAGTAGGTCTTCATTAAATGTTAGTTTCTGTTTTTTCTTTAATCTCTAAAATTCTATAATAATAATACCTTTATTTTCAAAGTAATTCTGCTTTTTAAAGACTTTATGACATCTGATTTAAATTTCACAAAAAAAGGATGGTGAATGTGGAATAAATCTTCACAAAAATGACACTGAAGATTATTTAAAGGCATAGAATGTTACTCACAACACAGATTTAAGAGACAAAAGTAGAAACAGTGTTCACAGTGTTTTACCAAAAACAAAAAGGGTATATATGCACAGGAAAAAAAATGATTAGAAAGGTATATCCCCAAAGTTTGAAAACAAATTACTTCTAGACGATTGTGGGGATTTTAATCGTCCTCTTGTAATTTATGCTACGCACAGAATTCTACAATGCCTTTTGTATGCTTTCTATACTAAGAAAAAATAAAAAAGAAGAGTAGTACTCCTTTTTTGAGATCATAATACTGAGGGGGGAGAAAATCAGTAGAAATGTGTGAGATTTCACCCTCAGTGATAGAGCTGGAATAGAATTCGCACTCTTCATCTCTAACCTACTGTGTTTTATCTGACCCTTATTTTCTATTCAGTGCTTACCATAATTGATGAATTCAAAACTAATCTATGATGAAAACCCCTGAAAGTGATTAGAGAGACTGTGATTGTAAATGTGGTATCAATCACTAACACAAAAGTCCCTTATAACTCATCAGGCTTCTTAAGTTGTTTATTCAAACCATTTGTTTCTGAGTCCAAACCAATAATATATGTGATAGACCGGATTACTTTCTCTAATTCTTCACTCCCTCTCTATAATAGAACTTTACATCCATAAACTTTACCATATGACTTGAATGTAACTCTCAGTAGAGTATG
Organism: Homo sapiens; assembly: GCF_000001405.40. Classification (NCBI taxonomy): domain Eukaryota; kingdom Metazoa; phylum Chordata; class Mammalia; order Primates; family Hominidae; genus Homo; species Homo sapiens. The sequence goes on from NC_000003.12 coordinate 114,682,840, forward strand.
TGTTAATGTGGGAGATGGGATATATATCTCTGTCTCTTGGCTTTGAGCTTGGTTAAGTGACTTGCTTTGACTAATGAAATATTAGTAAACATGAAATGAGCAGAGACTTTAGGTATTTTCTGCGGGAACAAATTCTGTAGTTGTCAATAGTTTATTCTCCTAGATTAAATGTTTGATAAACTTTTCTAAAAGAAGGAATTTTTTTTTCAGAGAGAAATATAGCTAACATGGAATATCATGTCCTTTTGTACTTACCTGGAGCCAAAGTAAACTACTTGGAAAATTAAGGTACCTTTTGCTGGACTATTCCTCATCCTTTAGTTTCTTCAGTCCAGACTGGGACATTTTGGTTAAAAAGGAGTAGGCTTGTGATGTTAAGGTGATCATCTTGGTCACCATACCCCAGAAAAAATCTTTACATATCCATGTCTTAGACACTGAGGTACAGAAAGAGAGTTCTGAACTTTCCATTCCATTGTCATTTGTGTTGTGGAGTCTTATTAATCTGTCTCATGGAAGGTGGGAATCAGGCTATGAATGGACAATAATTCATGGGGGGCAGTCAACAGTAGAGAAGAAGTTGCTGCAAATTGATTAATACAAACAAACCAACCTGAGTACCTGGCTCATTTTAGGTTCCCTCCAAAGGCTTCAGTACAGGCAGTAACTTAGAAGGTAATCTCAGAGGGTAAGATAATAATAAGGATTGACAATAATAAGGATTGGCCAGGATCTCTGAGATTTACACAAAATGGCTCCAGAGGTAGACATTATAAAGAAATAGAGGCTAGAACATCTCTTTTTCCAGCTCTATTCCTCCTTTAGTTGAGAGTTTCCCCAGGGCATTAAGCCCTGGGGGCTTAATGTAAGCCCCACTCTCCCCATCCTAGATTTTTTGAGATCTCCCAGCATTGGAAAAGGTCCTGGGGCAGAAGGAAAAGCATACTTGAGGTGGGAGTCTGGGTTAGCAGAGAACGGCTTCAGGTGCAGCTGAAGGGACCATGACAGCACTGCCTGACATCTCTGAGGGACTATGACAGGATTCTGACAGCCATATCTGCTACAGAAGCCTGTAAAGACTTGGGGTGGGGGGCAGTGGTGTATAATATACTGTGTAGTCTGATATTGCATCCTTTAAAGTATGATCTGGGGAAGGTTAGGCTGCATCTTCTTTATTAAATTATATTCCAAACAAGTTGTCTCCTCTGACTCCTGCATGAAGTCAGACTTTGGGACAGTAAATCCTACACTGTCCAGCTAAGAAAAATGACATGTTGTTAATAGGCTTAACTGATTCTCTTGCTATGATGGCAAGATCAGATTTTTAGCAGTGCTTCTGAAAATCCTGACACTCATTCACCAATTATTTTCTTCTAGGAGTCTAATATGTATTCATCTTCCCATATTTCAGGGAAGAAATAGTTGAACGACTTTAGGGAGCTTTTCCCAAAATGCTGACGCATTTTTGCAGCATTTTGCCATAATGGGGCCTATTGAAAATTTTTCTGACATTCTGAATTCATAGCATTAAGATTTGTGGTGTTGTTTTTGTATCTGGTTTGTATTTATTTTTGTTTTTATTAAAATACAGGAGAAATTGGGACAGGTTAAGAGTTGCACCTAAATGTATGAAGCTTGAGGTCTTTGAACATAAATGAGTTAGATATACAGAAAGTTATTAAGACCTTTAAGCATTCGTAAACATTTCATCATTGCTGACAATATCTATTTACTTTAGGTAACCCTGCCTGAGCAGCTCCTGCATTGCTACAAGGATGAAGGTGGGGTTATTTAAAAATTTACCAAGCTGTGAAAGAGTTTTCTGGAGAAAACTGGTTTGGGGACTCAGAGCATAAGGATAAACAATGGATACTTTTATGGTTACAGGAGAGGAGTTGATAAACCCCTCATTCCTCTAATGTAATGTATAAAAGAAAATATTGTATTCCTGGTCCTCACAAATGGGGAGGTGGTAGGGTAGGTAGGTTATATGAACACACATGTCTTCCCTTTGACAATGAGTGGGCAGGCCTTTAAAAAAAAGTCTGAAAAAATAAAGAGCCCTGGGGACCATTTAGGCTCTATCAGTGAGTTCTATCCTGAGATATCAAATCCAGTTGCACAGAATCTAAATGTCAATATTTACAAAGCTCTTTCCATCTTATATCCCGCTTCCTTTTTCTTTTATGCTCTTTCTACCCCTTTTCCTTCCTCCCTATTCCCTTGATCCCCTACATCATTCTGTTTTCCCATTTGCTCTCATTTCCTAACAACCCCCATCCCCATTAGTCAGTCCAAAATCTGTTCATCCCGCTATAGGCTTCAGTGATGGAAAAGAAAGGGCCCCAAACAAAGCCACCATCCAAGACAAGGAGCTCCAGAGGGTGGTGAATTGGTGATTGAGGTAAAGCCTGGGGACTGAGAATGTTCACCGCTCTGGAGGTTCTTAGCCCGAAAAGTGATTAGGCATCAGCAGGCTTGATAGCTGTATCAAGCCTCATGATTTCAAAGCTTTCATGAGCTGACAAGGACTTGCTAATTTCAAACTTTCTAACCAATTACAATCACAAAGAACTCAGGACAACAATCAGTGAGCAAAATGAAACTGCTGGAGTGAAGCAGCCCTCGGCAGGTTTCACTCTTGTAGCTCTGCTACGCAATGTGCAGCTGGGACTCTGCTTCAATAAGTAAATAAAAATACATTATAAAATACAAACATACACAATGGATCCCACTTGCTGTCTTGTTCCCAGTAAAGGGGTATGTAGGAACGCTGTCTTGCATTCATTCAGTCCATTAATTTCTGATGGTGTTAATTAAAAACTTTTGATGCTGGTTTGAATGGAAAATACCTCAAACAGTGTTTCCTTTATTGAAACACCAAGTTCCAAGTCTTGGATTATTAGGTTAAGCTCTGTCAGTAGTGAGACCAACATAAATGCTTTTCATACCGTATGCTTTGACAAAAGAGAATAGTAATAATAATAAATAAATAAATGAAAAGGAAGAAGAAATAAAGTGTTTAGACTGAAAACTCCTTTACTTCACCAACCTGTTTTTTTAAGGACTAAACTAAAAATCCAGGTCCCTGAATGTAGAACATATAATTTTAAAAAAATCTTTTTTCAAATCTTTATAGAACATTCAAATCACCCAATGTTCCAGGACCTGAATTTTTTATATTTTAAAATGAAGAAAGCTGCTTAAAATAAGTGAATCAGCTGCTAAGTGATTTCTCTCTGTCTTTTCCTCTACTCTCTCTTTAAAAAGACTGGAAAATGCTTAAAATGGTATATGCAATTGATATGTGCAGCTTAAGGAGCTTAATATAATTACTGAGGACTCAGACTTTCTATTTAAAAATAAGATAGGGTAGGGTAACAGAAACTCTGAGTGGTGAGTATTCATCCCTTGTGATGGTGAGGTGTGGGAAATGTTTCCAAATGTTTAATCCACTGAGCAAGGTAAAGAGTGCGAAGCAGTTATTCACAGAATTTGGTGTCCTTCTGAAAACCTAGGGAAGCCTAGGAAATCCAGAGAACAACTGAGGAGGATAGTATGAGAGATGCTGTGCAGGAAACAAGCAAATAAAATATCCATTTCTTCAATCCAATGCTTTTGTGAAGTATTAAGCCAACCACCAAAACATTCTGATTGATTTTTAAGACTCTTCTCTAATTTTATTTTTTAATTACTCTTCCCTTTGTGTATTGGGGTCTGAAGCCTTGGGCACCCATTCTGAGAGGTCTTGTAAATGTGTCTCACATATGCCCGTTTCTCTTTTGTTTTCTAATATACCTTTCTCTATCATTTTTCATTTCCCAACCTGTTTATTCACACTGTCTGCAATGTCATCTGAATCCTCGAAAAACCACAAGACTTTCTCTTTATTCCCCCTGAAGGCCTTCATCACTCTTGTTCTTGTTTTGATCTACATATCTCTAACGAGAATGAAGTTCTCCATAAAGGCTAAGCAGTTTGGCAGAACTTCCTTCCTTCCCTCCCTAACCGCAGGCTGTATTGACCTCACCCTCTTGGATCAGTTTGCTAAAATGGCCTCCAAACTTTATGTGATATGATAGTGAACCTTCAACAACAACAACAGCAATAACAACAACAACAACAAGAGCAACAGGATAACTTCAGTGTAAGGCATGTGAGAAAAATACGCAGAGTAATAGAACTAAAACTCCATGAGGGAAATGGGCCTGAGCAAACCACAGCATGGGTCTTTTTGTTAACAAAATGTATGATTTTTCCCCAGAGTACATTGATAGAGGACATAGCCTACAAAGGACCAGTAAATGTAAATTAACTAACAGATATGTAGCAAATGAATGCATTTAAAGATGATTTCCAGCTGAAATGTTTTTTTTTTTTTTTTTCTGGAGACCAAGTTTTTGTTAAACTTAATCCTTACTCTCTTTCCTTTCCAGCAGCAGAAACATCTGGTCGGTTTTAGATTCCCCTTGGATTTCCAACTTCAAAGGGAATTATAAAGAATAACAAATTCATGTACCGGCACTAAAAAAAAATTAGAGCAGCAGGAGAGAATGGTAAAATTGTCCTTATTTGACTGCTAGTGACAGGCGCCACAGGCAGAACTATGAGAAAAGACAAAGGCAAGATCACCAGTTGACAACCAGAGTTCCTGCAAGAGACTGAATCTTTGGCTACATGCAAATATGCACAGGGCCCTTAACAATCCATAGGGAGATTTACTTGCTTAAGGAAAATAAATAGGTAAATAAATAAAAGGAGTTGAAAGGTAAAAAAAAAAAAAAAAAGAAAGAAAGAAATGAGTTCATGTTTGCCTGTCACATAGTTTGTTGAAATAATAACAAATAAACCAATAAATGTTTATTGAAAGAATGACCTGGAAATAATTTTAAAGATCCACTTAACCCCTTGGGTTTTATTTGATTTAAAGAAAATTGTGAGAGTTCTGATTCTACAAAGGGCTGGATAAGTCATCCAAGAAATAATACAGGCTCTTAAGAGTCCACTAAACTTGGATCTCCAAAGTTCTTAAAAGTAGTTTCTGTTTCTCCTTTGGCTCCAGATCCTTATTATCAAAAGATGTGACGAGAAATCAAAGTCTTCTTAGTGGCCGGGCGCGGTGTCTCACATCTGTAATCCCAGTACTTTGGGAGGCCAAGGCAGGTGGATCACTTGAGGCCAGGAGTTTGAGACAAGCCTGGACAACATGGTGAAACCCTGTCTCTACTAAAAATACAAAAATTAGCTGGGTATGATGGCGCGCATCTGTAATCCCAGCTACTTGGGAGGCTAAGGCACAAGAATCACTTGAACCGGGGGGACGGAGGTTGCAGTGAGCCAAGATTGCACCACTGCAATCCAGCCTGGGTGACAAAATGAGACTCCATCTCAAAACAACAACAAAACAACAACAACAAAAAACCAAACTAACTGTTCAGTACATGCTCAGTACTTGGGTGATGGGATCATACATACCCCAAACCTCAGCATCACACAATATACCCAGGTAACAAGCCTGCACATGTATCCTCTGAATCTAAAATAAAAGTTGAAAAAAAAAAAAAAGAAATTTGTAACTGTGTCAAGTTGTGTTTGACACCACTTTATAGAAATGGATTTATTCTTCTCCTCTATCATTTTCTTAGCAAAACTGAAACACACTTCTAGAGTGCAGGTCTTGATATAATCAGACATGAGAAAATGAGAACAGTTAGAGAAAATACAATTTTGCCATTGTAATTACCTCTTACAAACAGCCTTTCCTCTTTCCTGTTTTATGTGCAATGTGTACAGCAACAACAATAAAAATAAACAAAGACATGATTAACCGATCAATTTGTTTCTCCAAAGAGAGAAATAGTTAAGGGCTAAAGTGCCTTTCAATAATTAATTATAAGAGTCTTTAAACTTAGTATTGAGAGGTTACAGATTTCCATACCACAAATACATTAGGTTGATTCACAGAGTGGCCATCAAATACCCAGAAAGCAAATTACTTTTGACCGAAATGTATACATCAACAGTACGGTTAGGAATGTTTTCATAGAGGAGGACAGAACATACATAACCAGTTCTCTATGGAGCCTAGCATAGTGTCCCATGGACCAATCCACATAAGATAAGACCATCTACAGAGCATATTCTTCATATCACAGACTCTAGGTAAGAAGAAAGTATTCTCTAGGTAAGAGGAGAAAAATAAGTGAAGATTTCTTTCGTTAACACTTCCACCATGAAAGGAATGAGCTGACTACAGAACCATTTTCTTGAATATTTTTGTCTTGAGTGGGGTTTTTATCCTTCCTTCACCACTCTAGGTAGAGCAGAATCACCAAAGTTCTCTCATTACGGTAATGTCATAAATCCCATCCTATAGCAGTTGTGCATGATCCTGTGTTATGCATCCAATAAAGTTTATTCAGAAAATATGTCAGCTTCATTAAACAGGGATCTGATGATCTGAACAAACCACTTATCTTGCTTTTGTGACATGTATTGGTATCCTTAGGTCTAAAATGAAAATCTTGGTTGGTGGGGGTATCTGCCAAGGATTCCCTGCCTCATGTAAGCAGAATCATCTAACCACAATTCTGAGCTTAACTGGGGGAAAGGAGGTGGAAGGTGTATCGTACTAGTTCGTTCTAAGAAATGTCTTATAGCTTGAGGATACGTGAGGTCACAAATGTAACAACAACTGAACTAGCACCAAGAGCCAAAGAGGCCAAGCATAAGGAAACCTGAAGCAAGAGAAAAAGGTGTACGCGTACATACACCAAGAAGCAAATGCTATCATTAATAATAATTATTGTTATTACAGCTATTAGAATGATGAGGCATTGATGGTTCACTTGGGTGAAATATATAATACATAAGCTAGAAAGAACTGTGGGTAAACTTATGGATCTTTTTAAAAGGCAGTTTATATTCTAGGTTTATGTGATATGAGACACATAATTTAACACCACATATAAGAACAGGATGCTGAAAAAAGTGAAGAAGACTTGCAGCTTTAAAATAGTATAATGGCTAGTTCCTACTGGTCTTTTCTTGTGACACCTGCCTTAGTCAAGCCATCCGATATAGTTCTAACCTTTTCTGATATTTTAATGATGATGACAGGCCCAGAGTAAAGGAGACAAAATAATCAGAAGATTCAGAGGGGAAAAAGAAATGGAAAGAAAAAAAAAGAGTTTGTATTGTTTATACCATCTAATCTGACAAATTTTATATATGCTCTCTGTTTGCTCAGGATAGTTTATTGCTAATGTTATGACTTTCTCTTTTTTTTCCATGTGCTTTGCTCTACCAGTTTTGGCTGAAAATATTTTGTATATGTCCATACTGTAAACCCTCATATTTTTCTAGAGATTTAGTGTGGTGGGGAAACTTTTTTTTCTTCCCCAAGGGTTAGGCACATCAATATTCTAGCTACTCACTTTTGAGGCCAATGGAAAATGTGCTCCTAAGATTAAATAGACCTGAGTAACACATAAATTCAGTTTATACTGATGCAGTATGTTGCATAGTTACATCCTGAATTTCTGATGCGTGTAATACACCTGTTGGACAACACATCACTACTGAATAGTCACTGACCTACAATTCAAAGACAGTGAGACAGCACAAGACTACAGATACAGGTTCTCTACAGACAGCCTGATTTGTACAGAGCATTCCTCATCTGTGGAACTCTGTGTGTAAAGGATCTAGGCTAGCCATGGGAAGCTGGCTCATAGAGGGTTCTAAATATTTTTAGAATAAACTAGAGCAATAATACAAGCACAGAGAGCACCCTTTGTTATACAATGCATAATTTCTTTCCCCCCAAACATGTTGTTTAAAAATGATTCAGATTTTTATTATATAATTCCCCCTTTTACATATTTCTAAATGCCTCACATACCCATCACATGTTTTCCATGTCTGCCAATAATCTTAATTAAAAATTATAAACTTTTAAAGCCAGTGTTACATTTGATTTAAGTAGATTTGCCATATTTATCTGGTATTGGTTGGCTGTAGCCAGACTGGAGTTCTAAGTAATAAGGGGACTATGCTTTCCTTTCACCTCAGGTAAGAAATTGTATTCAACACATGCTTAAACCCAATAATAAGTATAATTAATGCTGTATAGATCTGGCAGGCAAATTAGCATCCTAAATTTGAGTCAAGTAAAAAAAGTACCAAAAGAAAATAGTTCCCCCAAGAAACCTAGCCAAATCTGTGAAATATTTCTCTAGGCAACCAAATTGCCCTGTGGCTTACAGATGTGTCTAAGAATATTAGGCAACTCACTGATGAGATTTTACAATCAACTGTTACATGTTAGAAAATATGATGTCAGGATACTATGAAGAAAAATACTACTATATACAATAATAAGAACTATTTATCTGAATAGTTTTTAACATTAACGTGTAAAAAATATCCTGATGGATCTGAAATAATGATGTACTAAATACTACAATGTCTGGGGTTTGCTTCAACATAACATGGTGATATAGTGAGAAAATAACAGGCCATCAGTTAGTCATTGTGCAAGCTGGTGATGAGTACATGGGAGTTCATTATAGTAATTTGTTTATATTCATGAATTTAAGATTTTTTATCATAAAAAATTTAAAAACATATACTGATTTGAACTTTTATTCATTTATTATTTGTTGACTGATTCATTTACTGTTTATGCAAGGTATTATTGAGATATAAATAATAATAATAATGCTCTTATTGGGCATTTAGGTTAAATGAGCTATTCCTCTTCAGGAATATTATATATTTATTTTAAATGTTTATAAGGTCTATGTAATTACATATTTCTTAGGTTAAATTTTGAAAGCAGGACACAAAATTATATAGAAAGTATGATAACATCATGTTTTAAAAATATATCCTCGGGGAAAATGAGAGTAAGGAAATATATCAAATGGTTATTAATGATTGGATTTAAATTATAGAAATAATTACTTTAATTTTTCTTCATTTTACTCCTATGTGTTTTTCTAAATTATTTTTAATGAGCATGTATCATTTTAAAATGAAAATAAATATTTCTTCATTACTGGAAAAGATATGTTCTCCTTCCCCAAGGAGCTTTTCATTTACTGAAACAGAGAAACTGCAAACACACAGCATTGCCCAGATAGTTTAAATCTCCATACCTAGAAGGGAAATACACCCACAGGAAAAGAAACGTCAATACAGATTTTATCTGATCATAGAAACATAAAGAGCTTTCTCTGTGTTGGACAGCAATAGGGAAGAAACTGGCTTGTTTGCAAGCCAGCAAAAGCGTGAAATTCAGTCCTTTTTGTGATGAGATCATTTTGTGATAAATGCAAAAGGAGTGACAAATTAAAGTCACCAAATAAGCCTTTCCCTTGAGCTCCTGAGGCTTACTAATACGAGTTTCTTTTGGGGTAGCATAGCAAGTAAAGCGTGGGAGTGGGGAGGGAGGCGGAGCTACAATCCCGAAGGCTCCTGGCCTTCACTGGTGAGATGGATATGCTCAGAGAGACAGAGATAGATGTGCAACAGAATCAGAAACAACAACACAGTGACAACTATGGATTATGCACAATGGATATGGAAAGTCTCTGTTAGAAAACTATCTTTATTACCCCAAGAGATTATTTCCCTCAGTTTATGCACGTTCATATAAAGCGAAGTCAAGAGTGTAACTTTTAAAGGTTTGGATGAATATGATGTTCATGACTAAACAGGCCTAGATGGAGCCAGGCAGAACACAGTTAGATGCCAGGGAAGTCACCCTTTTCCTCCTCCTCCCTCTCCAGTACAGTTGCCAGTGCATTTCAATGCAGGTCAGCCTCTAGCAAAGTCAGCTGTTTCAAGCTCTGATTGGATAATACTTTATCTATACACCCCCAGTCTTGACCTGCACTCTTCTCCCAGTCATGGAAATATCAAGAATTCTAGAAGGCCACAATACCAATCTTTTTGAAACTTTACAAACTTTACAAATTTTCACTACAAGACACCTAGAAAAATCTTCAAGCCTATGCTTACCTGTAGCCCTGGTCTTGGTCCTCTTACTTAACTGGTAAAAGAGGATAGCCTTATTTATGTCTTTGAAGGGTATTTTCCTTTTTTGCTTGTTGGTAAGTACAAGAGCAACCATGTCTAATTTTAAGATTGATCCAAATGAAGCAAATGCATTTCAAATTTACAGAATACCATAGAATACTAATGGGTAGTTCAAAGTATCACTAAATGTGTTTGGAGGGTTTTGAGTTTTTTCAAAACATACAATGTTCCACACAGGAAACATCAGTGCCAACTTCACCCTATCACTCTTTCTGTCCACTCAGGAGTCTCCTTTGGAAATATATCTCTCTGGAGGGTCTTCCAAACAAATCCTTTGAATACTTCCATCTTGTTTAGCAGAGTATTCTAAAATATTTGTCAAAATCTGTGATAATAGGTTCTGGAGATCATGTTTCTTATTCTTCTAAATGCTGGTATTTCAAATGAACAAATAGGATATTAAAGATCTGTCCTTTACCAATGTCAAAATATGTTCTGTCAAAATTTAGTATTGCTAAAGTTTAGACCCAAAGACTCACCACAGCCTTTGGATCTCATATTTTCTGAGGTTCATGGAAAGATATTTGACTTCTTTGCACCTCAATATTTTGGACTGCCATTTAGAGATAATGAGAGTTACTTACCAGACAGCAATGTCATGAGGAATATCCTGTTAGTAATGATGAAACATTCTGAAATAAAAAGAGTACAGGTAAGTGCTAGGTATTTATTTTAATAAATGTATGATAACATGGTAATCATAGAAAATAACCCATTTATTCCTCACTTTGGGATACTGACTAAGTGGTAGTATATAAAAAGTAAAGGATGTTTCCCTTTGGGAATGGAAATAGAATTGTGCACTAAGAAAGTATCTTTTGTAACTGCCTGCATGTTTAACTTTAAGGTCTCTAACCAGTTGCAACCAGTTATGAATGACTTGCTGCCCATTTCTGCAATTCACTGTAACTTGTGTTGAGAAGGTTATGTTTTATGGTTAATTATCCATGGTCTGTTTAAAAAAATAAATCAAACCACTGTAAACCACTAGGATTTGCAGCTCCATTTGAGCTTTACTGTAGTTTTGATCAAACATTTTGTACATAAAAACAAGCTGGTTTCTCTTTGTTTTTAGTTGTTTGTTATTTGTGTTATAAATATTGTGGCAATGGTGGGAGAATAAGCTATGGATTATTTACCCTCGGTTTCATGAGTTGTGAGTTATTGGCCTTATCCTCCTTTATAAGTATAAATAAATGTATAATATTATATTCCAAGTCTTGTAAGACAAATGGAACGAGTGAACTGAAACCTTTTAGACCCAAAATCTTTTATGCGAAGTCATAGAACAACAAAACAAAACCCAAATTAACATTTAAAAAGCTTCTACTGTGGAGCAACAAAGTCTTTAAATATTATATAATCTGCATTTAAAAAACTGCTCATCTAACAGGCAGCAGTCTATCATTCTACAAGCTTTTCAATGCCTTTAACATTCAGAAGCTACAGGTGGTTTTCCCAAAGATCACTCAGCACCCCCAATATCACTACCACAATGAAAGCCTTGAAAATGGCCAGCATGATTACTTTAAGCCAAAATGGATTTAGAAAAATCAGGAATTCGTGTAGCTAAAAGTAATGAAACACTGTATAAAAGAAGAACCCTATAGAATTTTTTTTATAGTTACCATCCTAGGACTTATATAAACAAAAGAAGTCCAAAAACAATTGTCCAGAGAAAATGAGAAAAGCCAAGATTCAAAGGACCCTGTGGCAGAGTGCATGAGGAGCATACTCGATAGCTAGAATCATAAGTATCTAACACATTTGCATATGAAACTTAATGAGGATCACCAAAGTAGCTTGCCAAAAATTATGTTTGTTAAATCAGCCAACAGTCTATGTAGCACAGACCCCTAAAAAGAACCTCTAGGAAAGATGTAAAATTGTCTTCTGAAATTTGCTTCTTTTATAAAGGCAGAAAGGATAAAAAGGCCTTTCTCATAAAATGAAGTGATTGGTCCACTACTACAGTCTGAAGAGTTCTGTATCAGATTTCTTCTTACCCTTTATTACTTGTATGGCTTACTGCTTACCTGCATCAGCAGTCTGCAGGGTTGGCCATAGCAGGTCCCTTACGAGTTCACTGAAACACGGAAAATATTTATGATGGTACTATTATGTGCCAGACACAACTGGATGGATTCTGCTTGAAAAGGTAAGTCAGTAACTGAGGTTCTTGTTGCCACATTAAAAGAAAAAATCTATCCCTACTGCCAACAGCAATAAGAAGAGAAGCTAGGGTGAAAGAGTTGTCAAAGACTTATGAAAAATTCGAAACTGTTTAAAATTCTCCCTAGCTTCTTTTCTTGCATGTCCAAGTAACAGAAAGCTTAGGCCTGCCACCTGTCTTAAGCCTGGATCCCATATTAAAAAAATAAAAAAAAACAGAAAAATGAGAAACAGCTAATGTGTTCCCAAGGCCTTGGTTACAACAGAAAATGAGAGCCGAGAAGTCTACATTGGCACACATCGAGATTTGAAAGGTCAGTCCTGCCCTAGTATGGTTCAGAGACCGTGAAAACCCACCAAGATGAAAATGGAAGCTATTCTGACAACAAGAGGCAGGGAAAAAGTTCAAAGACTTTTCCTCTGCTTCTTTTATAACGAGATACTTTCAACTATTTTTGACAATCAATAAAATGCAAATCTCCCTCACTTTTGTGTTCTAAGTTTTTTTTTTTTAAATTTAAACAACCCATTTGAAAATTAGGGTACTCAGAATAACTTCTTGTATACAGAACTACACATTTAAAAAGCTTTGTGCAGATTGTTAATCATATTAAAATTACATCATAAACAATGCACTTTACATGGTGCAAATGTTTTATGTTTTTTTCTTTTGACAATCAGGCACCTACATGCAAAACTGCATATTGGAATCCAAACTCAACTATAATACATGTAGAGGAACCCTTAGAAAAATGCATGTGGGAATATGATATCCCAGTTAGAGACTAGAATATTCTGACCAATTTTCATTATTTCTCTGTAATAAATTTATCTGAGCTATAGATCCTGTTAAGAAAATAAAGCTAAATGGAAAAGTATTGATAAAATACATTAAATATATATATACTAGCTTAGTCATTATTCATATTAAGATCAGAAAAGATTTCCGCAAGTCATCACAAATACAGAGATGGGATAATACCAATAATCTCGATCACCCAGTTGTTAAAACAGAGAACCTCACATTTGGGCAATAATAGTTTTGATTTTTATCTTGTGCACCAGATTTTTCCATACAAAGGAATTCTAAATTGCAATAGTTAACACATAAGACAGTGTTAAACAAATTCATAACTTTAGTAAAATTAAATGAACCAATTTCTTATGGCTTTAATATCCAGAAGTAAAGTATGATCTTAAAGAATGATGCTGATCTGAGATACAAGGAGATCAAGCGCTTCAATAGTTCCTCCTCACACACTAATGATCGCATCCATCCTCTCTTCCACCCACCTCCCACCTTTTCTGGTTGTATTAAAAACAATCAAAACTACCACCACTGCTGCTACCCTTCACACACCTGAACTTAATTTCTTCTAAGAGATGCCTAACAGTGCCTAGGGCTGTGCTATCACTTTATATCCATTTTATGACCGCTTGAGAGGCAGAAACTAAAAAGGAAGACCAAAACAAAACAAAAAATCCCTCCAACCTCCCTTATCAGACAAATGCCTGGTTCCCAGAGGACACCAGTCAGTTAAGCAAAACCAAATATTACAACAGGGATGAAGGACTTATAAATTGCATACAAATCTCACTGTGCTCCCACTTAAGGTGGAAAGGGAGTTACTCCAATGAAAGAAAAGGGGGAGGGGGTTGTGGGAAGGAGCGAAGGGCTACAGAAAGAGCGAGAGAAAAAGAGAGAGAGAAAGAGAGAGATTTATTGTACATTTGAGACATTAAGAAGGCAGTACAGTGAAACCAAAGGTGTTCCAGGGAGAAATGTGACAGAAAGCTCTAAATGAGAATTACAGAAACTATTCCTTCTTAAATAAAACTGTTGTTTAGATGATGAATTCTATAGGAAGTCTGAATTAACTGTCTCTGTTGTAGCATCTAGATGTTTTCTCTTTCATTAAGACTTTGGAGTTTGAATGTACTTTGTTAAAAAAAAAAAAAAAGAAGAAGAAAGAGAAAAAAAGAAAAAAAAAAAAGCATTAGAGCTTTATATAGCTCCCAAAGTAAAAAGCAAGAGAAAGATGGGTTTATATAACTGGCTTTTTTACATAAATATTACATCAGGATACATTTCAAGTGAAAACACACAAACACACACACACCCGTCTTCCTTATACTCTTTCTATTTTAAAATTCATTTCATACTTTAAATGTTGTTGGTTTTTCACAAAATAAGTAAAAACGAAGTCAAAACATCTCAAAATAAGTTGCCTTATATTACCTGGAAAATTAACCCATCATACAGGTCACGATGTCTCATTTAAAGCCAGTTAAGGTGCTGACAATTATGGGACATTTTGCTGCAGCCTAGGGCAACTAGAAAGGGCCATGGATGTTAACTAACTCCCTTTTAAACAGTCTGAGAAAAGGGAAAAAAAACTGTAAGTTTCCCCATCTGTTATTTCCTTTTTTTTTTCTTTTTGGCTGTGGAAAAGTAAAATTATGCAAGAGCTTTTGAATGTAAAGGCTGTGTGTGCTTTTTCCCTTTTTGTCTCTGTGTACCGGTTAAGTGATGTTGCGTAACTGAGTACAGAGTAGGCGGTTAGCGTTTACTATTGATTTACACTATGCCATCTAATGAATTCAGAACACTAAAAAGAAAGGAGCAGGAGAGGGAGGGAGGAAAAAGAGAAAGGGAGAAATAGGGAGAGGAAAAAATAGGAATGAAGGAGAGGAAGAAAGAGCTTATTCAGAGAAACAGTTCTAATGACTGGAATAGGTTCATTTTTATTCCTATAGCTCTGACTTTTGGTTATTGTTCAGCTCTCACAAAAAAATGGTCTTGAGCTGGTGACCCCAATATTCCAATCCTATTTCTAATAAGGATTACTGGCAGGTGAATGCCTGAAAGTTCTAATGTGTCAAATTACTTGAAACCAATTTCACTATACTGTCAGACTCCTCCATATGCATCTATTTATGATTCTCTCTATGCATTTGTGAATCTGTATCTGTGATCACCATGGATTTGGTCCTACTGGCTTACCCAATCAAAAATATTATTTGAAATATATCACGGGAATGTCATCAGGGTAAAGAGAAATACATTCTATTTTACCCATCTCCTTTAAAAATACATAAAGAACACATTTAGAACTTTAAATATATCACTATTTTACTTTGAAAACAGACATGCTACAAATTGTTTGGCTGAACAAAACAGCCCAATATAGGATAATAAAAGAGAAATAGGCAAAATGAGGAAGAACGCTAAATTGAGGAACAATATTCATAAAGAAATTTAAATAATTTCTTATGTCTATGGAGAGCCTTTTACTTTTGTTTGGGTGGAATGCCTGTAGCATTCTCAGTCTTTGAATGCTGCTCAGTGCTTCCCATGCCATATAATGAATTCCCAAAGCGTGGACCAGAAAGAAAGGGTGAAGTTGTTTCTGCTGCTAGGTACAGGTCCTTCCTGTACCTGAGTGCCCTCCTATGGCTGAGAACAACCACTAAGGTGAGAAAGAGAAAGAGAAGTTCTCTTTAGTAATCAGCTGAAAAGCTGGGCAGGGAACTTGATTTCTCCCTCAATGTGTGTTTGCAAATGATGACTGGGAAAAATCACAGGAGGTTATCCAAAGGAAAGAACAAGAGTTGGGGTTTCTAGTCATCCAGTTGTCTTCTCTTTTCAGCCATCTGAGCTTAGAAAATATTAAACAGATGCGTACTCTGTCCACTTGTCAAAGATGCTTTAATGACCCATGGTGGTATGCACACAGTTGTATACCTAGCACTTGCCATGGTGCTTGGCACATTTTCTATACTCAGCAAATATTTATTGAAACTGAAAAATGATGATGGGAGAAATATCTCTGTAGAAAGAATGCACTAGAAAGGCCTGAAAAAATATATTCCGATGTTTTACAAGAAATCTTAGGCTATATTGCTCTATCATTAATCTGCACACAAAATAATACTGTAAGAGAAATATCAGGCAGTTATTTAGGGGTCAGTTGACTTCAGTTCCATTTTATTAGGAAAAAGCTTAACAAAAATTATAATACTGATAACATCAGCAAAGTTTTGTGTTCATTTCCACCAGCCCTTTTGGGCTGTCTTTCATTTCAGTCTTGGGCACAGAAAAGTCTATTTTAATTTCCATGGACACATTCTAAAGAAAAAGTCATGGGATATCAACGTAATTCATCTTTTAAAAAATACTGAGACAAATGTAGCCATTTAGTAATGGAAGAGAATATGGCTTTTTGTTGAAGGGCAAGGCAGGTGGAGTTTTGATTAGGTTACACAAATTTAAATTACTAGAAGGACACCAAGAATGTACTGATTTCCATTTTCTTGGTTAAACAGTTTTTTTTTGGAAAAAAAAAATTCTGGTTTAGAAAGTCAGAAATGCCATCTTTCAGTTAATTGGAGAATAAGACCTTTAGAAAAAGAATTGCAACTACAATTTCTCAAAAATTCCAGCGAAGATTCAACTTAAAGCATGTTTAGCAATAGTAGCCATATTCTTTTAAAAAATGGGGCTACCATCTTGTTAATTCTGTAGGACTGAGCATGTAGATATTAGTCAAAACCTTCAAAAAGTTTTTTATTTCTCTCTCTTGGTCATCTATTTAATGTAATCGGATTCAGCAACTTCCTTCAATAAGCATTCTGGCAATATGTCAACAAGATCATTCATTTCATGATTCTTAAAAGTGGATGAGAACTTACCTGTTCTTCTTCATTTTATATATGAAGATTCTGAGACTCAGAATTAATTTTCTCAAAAGCATATATTTTGAGGCAGAGCTGGGACTAGTATCTAAAGCTCACAGTTCATTTTTTTCACAGCACAGACTAAATCAAAGTTGTATAAATTCAATCTTATTTTAAATGCCATAGGGGAAGATTTCAAAGGATTCTTTTATAAGACAAGGAATTCTTACATTATGTAAAATGTTCACCTCAAAGCTATCTTATACTTTTTTTTATCTTAAATGTGAGCCTACTGTTCAAATTGTTGCTTCTCCTTTTCCTTGTCTTAATTTTTGACTCTTTAGAGTCTTTGCCTCCTGTCCTCTCACTTGTACTCTG
Organism: Homo sapiens; assembly: GCF_000001405.40. Lineage (NCBI taxonomy): Eukaryota > Metazoa > Chordata > Mammalia > Primates > Hominidae > Homo > Homo sapiens. Next base: position 114,700,171 of record NC_000003.12, read on the forward strand.
TGTCTAGTTCATATATGGCCCTTCCTGACTTCATATTCTTCCTTCTCTCTCTCTTTTCATCTTTTTATCAAACTTTTATTTATTCTTGTTCCTCACAGAAATAATTTCCTTGTTAATGTGATATCCTCAGAAACTACAAAGGAAGAAAAAGTGTAAATTTAGTATTATTATAATAAATAGGCCTTTGGTTTATATTTAAAACAAAACTGCAATAAGATATTGACAAACAGAGTAAACTACAGCTATAGGCTTCCCTATAGAAAGTTACAGCTGTCTAGACCTCCATATTATCAATATGAAAACTTGGGGGCTAGCATTTCAAAGTATCTCATCAAAGACAGAGAGCAAAGGCTCATGATCTCCAGACCACTCATTTTCCACTACATCAGGACACCTTTCGTTTCCCTTTTCTTTCTTTCCATTCTACATTATTGATATTTGAGACTGATTACGGCACAGCAGGAGGAGATTCAGAGAAATCTCCTTGGCTTAATGTGGTCAAACTCTCTCAATTCCAAAAAAAGTCAGAAAGACCTGCACACTAAAATTGTAGTTACACAGAAAAAGAACTCTGAGGAGGTTAAAAGAGTCCTCTGACATGAGAAAGTAGTCTCTGGATAGCAGGGACATTGCTGCCAAAATCATTGTAATTAAGATTGGGTCATTGTTTCCATTATAAACCTTATGCTTATGGGGTTTGTAATTCAGTTAAAATGATCAGCTGTAGGCTGAAATGCAGCCCCAAGTATCTTAGAGTGGGAGGTGTTTCTCCCCTCCTATTTCTTAAAAAAGAAAACACATAGCAACTATTTAATAATTTCAATGAGAGTTGTATTCTGACCCTTCCCCTACAAAGGGTAGTTAATCAATGAGCTTAATCTAGAGTGAGCCAAGGTGAGCAACATCCACTGTGGAATGAAGCACATTAACCTGGCATATGAATGGGCAATAAAAGGATTTCCTATTATTTCATAAGGTTTAATGTACATCACTCCATTCCACTGTATTGATGTGAATAGGCTTTCAGCAACACCGTGTTGAAAAATCTCCCACTTCTGTTTGTTAACTCATTATTGTAGGAAACATTACAATTATAGGAGACAGGAATTTCTGATGGTTTCCTTAGATTTCTTTCCTCATAAGCTCATTCCCAGGGTCAGTATTAGATAATCAATAATTTCTAAAATTTCTTGCTCCTATTTCTTTAGCATTGTCTACAATATCTGATACCTATAGTGTAATGCTATGTGCCACCATGATGTAGAGGGATTGGGGAGGAAATCATAGCTATATATTAAAATTAACAGGCCAGAGGAAACTGGTATTTACTGAGTACATACTACATGACATATATTCCATTAATATTATTTCATTTAATACAAACCTGCAGTGAAGTAGCTGTGGCCCATGTTTTATAGATTAGCAACATAGTTAAAGAGCTGTTAGCTAACCTGCGTAAGGAAACAGAGCTAATTTAAAAAGTTGCGAAGTGAGGTTTGAATCAAGATCTGTTTGACTCCCAGGCCCATATGTACTGCAATGCAATGCAACACCAGGAACAGAATATGAAACCATCTAACTGAAAAAAAAAAGTCTCCATGCCAATGATGAGAGCTACCTCATGCTCCAAGTAGGAGGTAGAAAGGGTAAATGACTCCTAAAAAGAGATTCTTGCTTTGCTCTTGGCTCTGATAAATCCCTGTTTATTCATATGCAAATATCCAAATGCATATTTGGAAAATGTTTTGTCTTAGATAAGAAAATGCACAATCTCCTAGAAACCTTTAAATGAGACCAGACATTTGAATGTTTACAAAAATTCCTTTGAAGATTTATATTAGGAGAAAGTTTTAAAACATAATGCATAAAAAAAAATCAGATGATTGGCTAGGCATGGTGACTATCGTCACCATGGGAGTCGCTTTGGGAGGCTGAGGTGGGTGCATGGCTTGAGCCCAGGAGTTTGAGACCAGCCTAGACAACATGGTGGAACCCCATCTCTACAAAACACAGTGAAAAAAAAATTAGCAGGCATGGTGGCACGTGCCTATAGTCCCAGCTACTCTGGAGGCTGAGGCTGAGGCTGAGGATTGATTGAGCCCAGGAGACCGAGGCTGCAGTGAGCCATGATCGTGCTACTGCACTCCAGTCTGAGCGAGAGAACGAGACCCTGTCTCAAACCCTCCACCCCCAAAAATCAGATGATTAATACAACATTAACATTTCAATCTGGATGTGTGTGTTTGTGTGTGTGTGTCTATGTGCATATAAACCTATAAATATACACATACACAGATGAATTTTTTTGTCTTTGTCAAAATTTCTGGTAATTATTATAAAGTATTTGACAAAAGCTAAACAGTAAATATGTTACACCAGGAGAAAAGGAAACAAAGAACAAGAAAAGAGGAGTATGTGTATGTACATACTTCCCTCAGAAATCTAATCCTAAAACATTTTTTAAGCTAAATGGGACATAGTGCTTTAGTCTAAATTGTGTGTGTGTGTGTGTGTGTGTGTATGTAAAGATAAAGGACTTTTACTATGTTATTTTGGCAAGTGATTATTTTTCTAAAATCTTTGCTGAATCGTTTTATGTAGATATACTATAATACTCTTGAATAAATAAATACTTGTTCAAGTTAACCTTAGAGCTCATCAGGTAAATAACAGAATTTAAAAAAGAATCTGTAGTCTGAAACACTGTAGAGTATGCCAACTTTACACATTACATTAAGTATTCGTTCAAAATAATTTATAAATTGAAAAGTATACTCCATTTTATTCAAACAATGCAATTTTTTAAATGAATCTTACACAAATTTGTGTGTGTGTGTGTGTGTTAGAGAGAGTGTGTGTGTGATCCTCAAGACCACTGAGTCATTCTTTAAAAATATTTTAAAATCATAATTTGGTGAAGAACTTAACAACAAAGTAACTGAAGCCAGATTTGAGAGAAGAAGAATGAACAGTTCTTCAGGAAGCACCAATTCATTCCTTAACATTCAATAAGTCTTTATTGCTTCGCCCTTCCCTCCTTTTTTTCCTCTAGTCTAAACTCTGATTTGGAGCAGAAGTTAGGAGGAACACGTATTCTGGTCCCTCTTCTCTCATCCCTGTAAGGAAAAGCAATGGTAGACTAATGACAGAAAAAGCAATTGCAACAACTTTGGCAGTTTTGTGGTACTGGGAAAAAGCAGGCTTTGTATTTGTACATTTCAAGGAATTTCTTCAAATTTTAGCTTCTTTGAATGTTCCTACAACAAGCTGAAGGGGAGATAAGATCTGCTAGGGAAATAGATGAGGTTTAGAGAGGGAAAATGGAGGGACTACTTTTTTTTTATTCAAATAGCATTCAAACACATGAGCAAGATATAACTTGCAACATTAAAAAGTAAATTAGCTAGCTAAAAATAACTCACAATACCCTTCTCACTAAAACAAAATAAAATAAAGCAAAAACTCACAACCAATTATTTTGACTGGTAAAAACAGACAGTGATATGAAAGTAACAGATGGAAGCCCAGTTTTACTCACACAACACACTCACTAAAGACAATTGCAAGTGTCCCCATGACAATAACTTAACAATGGTCACTTTAGCCTGAGATATCTCCTTTAGGTGAGTTTCCTTAAAGACTTCAGAGGGGCTTGTAGAAAATACTGTAGAACGAAACCAACTCATTTGTCTATATGTAGAAATAGGCAAGAGTTGCAAATCACAGCCTGTGGACGAAAGGGATCCAGGTGTCACATTTGCCAAATCTTTTTGCAAGACTGGAATAGATATTCTTTTCTTATTTATTTTTTGTTGTATGGCAGTATTTTTAGGAGTGGTGACATTTCTGTACTTTTAAAAACACAACACTACACAGCACCTAAAAACTTTCCTAAATCAAATAATTAACAGTAATAAATCTTCCTGCTAATTTCTCCTCAAAGTTGAAAGAAAGGTTATTTTCTTACCTCACACTGAGCCTTCTGATATGACAGTGTCATTCAGTCAATAATTTCAATGTCAGTTACTGATTTCTAACTCTTTTATTACAAAGACTTCAAGCAATAATGAAATGGTGCTGATCTGCTTGCTTTCACTCTATATAACGTCTATATTTATATGCTTATGCTTCTATTTGGATCTATATTTATCTGCTTTATCTGCCTACAGTGCATCTGTTTCTCATACACACAGACATATATTTATATATATACACACATACTGTATATATATATATAGGTTATATATAAACACACATACCCACAAAAATGTATGAATGTATGCTAGTGAGCTTACTTCAACAACCATGCAGGTGCATAAATATTCAGGCACATGACAAATATACAAAGAACATAAATGAACATGTAAACATAGTTACACAGGAAAAAGAATATCTTAACAACAGCCCTGTCTGCCATACTTGGCTGTTGGCCTTTGAGACTTATACACTGTTGAATGATATGTCATAGACTACTCTGAGAAGCAGAAAAATCTTCTGAAGGCAAAAGTATATGACTAAATCAAGATAATGAATTCTAACTCTCTCATTTTCGCAATGAGGAGTCTGAGATACTAAGGTGAACAGCAAAGATTTTACAGCTTTCTGGAGGCAGAGCTGGAAGTTTTACCCAAGTCTCTGCCTGCTAGACAAATGCTCTTTCTACTACTATGCTGAATTGAAAGGATGAAAACAATTTTTTCAAACCCAATATCATTATTTTCTAATTGCCACTCTTTCCCATTTTTCCCTTTTCTTGCTGTGTGAAATGTAAACAAACAACATTCACTCAGGGTCAGGCACTGTTCTAAATATTCTATATGTACTATACCATTTAATCTGTAAAATATCTCTATATAGTAGGTATTATTATTCAAAATCTTAGTTTAGTGAATTAAATAACTCACTCAAAGCTACACAGCTAGTAAGGAAAAGGGCTGAGCTCCCATAATACTCAAGACCCATGTTTTTCTCACTTAACTATGATGCCTTCCCTAATACATATTTGTATATAATACTAACCCTTCCCTCACCACCACAGCCTGATAGTCTTAGAAATCTAATATTTGATCTGTTTCAGAACACATAACAAGTTTAAAGGTTCTCTCAGCCTGAGGAAAAAAAATAAAGGGAAGTAGAGCAGGTATAAGTTACATCCCTAGTATGCAGCACATGCCCTATACTAGAGAACTGAAATATGCAAAATTCCCCCCCAAAATTACTCCAATGATAGTGTGATGTGATTTAAAGCCTTAATAACTTCCAGTCTATGAACATTTTATGTCTTTTGCAAAGGATTATGGCAAACTGATAATATAGAATCAGATTGGAAATAAGACCACAAGAAGGCAAAGGGAAAATAGCAAAAGGAAGAAAGACCCACACCCACTTCTTCTTCCTCTCTTGGCACAACACTTCCAAAAACAAACACCCATTAAAAACAACAAACCCAGTATCAAAATTTGGTATTTTTTTCCCCACTCAAGTGTTAGAGACAAATTCAGAAAAGAAACTAAGTCTACGTATGGTAGGTAGTTTTATACAAATCTCTTCAGATAGTAACCAGTTGTGAGCCATCCGAACACGGAGGAATTTTACACTTTGGCCAGCTAACCCAGAACCCAGCACTGGGAGATGTCATGTGGATTTGTGAAACTCCCTGGGGCATACTGCATCCATAAGCCAAAGAACAGAAATTATACTGATCCATACATGCAGCTCTTCATCTGTGCCATATTGATAATTACTCTTCATTTGTGAATTAAATCCTAGTTATAAAAACAACTTTCAGACATTTGTCACAAATGGCACATTTTACTTAACTCTTTCATAACACCATCTAGCCACGGTCTATAGGAAATGGGAGCTACCATACTCCCATATAGGTCATGATATTATAGGAAGAATATGATGTAGAGAAAGAGAGAGAGAGAGAGAGACAGACTTGAGTTTGAATCCCAGGTTTTCCATTTATTAACAATAAAGCTGTAGGCACATCACTTAAATGATTCTGAAACCTCATTTTCATCACCTGTGGAATAAAGAATAAAACCACCTATTTTGCAGGAACGTTGTGAAGATTAGAGACATCCCAGCACAAAGACCCCCTCATAAAAGGGGGCATTAAATATTAATTATTGTATATTTAAGAAGTCTATTTGTGTGTGACTTTCTCTTGTATTAATGATACATAAATCTGCTGGGAGTAACAGAAGATGTGAGGTACTTTTTATGCTTTTTTAATCAAAGACAAACTTTTTGGTGATCACATGTGTTCCATGTAAAAGTGGAAATAAAAGCATATCACAGTGTAACATTTTCAGTGGACGATTTTAAAGCACTTAATAACCCTTGACTTTTTGTGATTGCTGGCACTCTCATTTAACAGTTGGGCAAAATGGGGTTCAGAGATACATCCTCCAAATCAGTAATAATAATAAAGAAATCACCAGCAGGGGTTAGTAGAAAGTCTGTTTTTAACATCTAAATCCCACAGTGTCCAGCTAAGGAATAACTGCTGCAAGGTCACAGATACAAAAGGCCACACTTTCCCCAAAGCTCTTTGAGATTATTCACTGAGGCCAAAACATTAGGTAATGCTGTGTACATCTGCTGAGATAACAAGGGTGAGTCAGGGTTAGGTCACGGTTTCAGGTTAGAGGGGTGGGGTGAAGAGTGGCTTTCAGATCAAATGACGAGAGTAGTTTAATTTAAGCAAAGAACAAACCATACAGTATTTTAAGTAAGAGGGGAAAAAAAGGGGGTGCAACTACAGCCAAGAGAAGGTGGGTGGGAATATAGACCCTGTGGGGGTCAAATGGGTAACTGTGGCTCAAAGAGGAAACCCACCCACATTCACACACACTGAAAAGCGAACAAAAAGCCCAGGGTGCAGCATAAATCCTGCTATCCCAATAACACACACAGATGTTCCACCATTGTTTTCTTTTATGCACATTTTAATTAAGAGATCAGAATCAAGCATTAAAATGTTATTAAATGGCTTGTTTACATTTTTGCTATATGTCATTTATAATGCATTTTCTAAATGTGTGTATATCTATTCGGAAGGACTATTTGGAATTTTTACATCAGTGCTACAATTGTCCCACTAACTCACAGTCATTTTTGCTAACCAAATATGTGTCAGAAATCCTTTTCAGTTTAAGCAACTGGACAGGAGCTCTCACTCTTTAATTCTCAGTCAAGCAATTCCCTACCCCCAATCACACCTCCTTTAAGCATGACAAAGTCCACCACAGTACTTCAAGACAATAGGAAGGCCCAGGTACACTGGCAACCTTTCTGATTTTTCACAAGAGTCCCAGTTTCAAATATTCTCCCATTGTGCTCACAAGAAAATAGTCTTCATATACATGCCCGACCCTTTCCCTAGAACAGTTTTGAAAATGTCGGGAACTCAAAGCTACCACATGAAGGACCCTGACCTATGAGTGTCCCCTGGAGGGGACACAGTGGAAGAAGCGGGAACTAGTAGATTTTTTTTTCCTCCCCACAATCCATCTTCTATTTGCAGTCTACAACTTATCCCTATTTGCCTGGGCAGGAATTTGAGTTCTCTATATTATTCTGGAGTTAAAACAGGTATGCCTTTCCCGTCTCTCAGATTCCACAGATATCATGACTGATGCACACAATCCACCTGCATATGTGGATCACAAGTATCCTGTAGTCTGCTGGCACCATATAACTTAATTACTTTTAACCACAGGGCATTGTCCTAGAAGCCCACTATTTATATTGTACCTTATCAATCATGGTACTTGGAATTGCAAAGTCTCAGAAAGCAGGAATCATATCTCCTCCACGTTCAGTTCAATGCCTAATGCATTGTGAGTGTTCAGTTAGGACAAGCAAGAGAGGTAAGGTTTTTTCTTTCTTTTTGTTATTTGTTTGTTATCCAGGATAAGCAGAATGCTTGTACAGAACATGCATAAGAAAGAAACGCAATCTAATCTCACTGTCAATTTATATTCTGTAAACTGTCTCATTTGCAGCATAAATGACTACAAAAATGTTTTGGTTACTCTAAGTGTTAACCTTAAGGTAAGAGTTAAATTAAGTCTGCTATAACTGGTGGACCAGAAAGGACTCAGAGAAAAGCAACAGCATGGCTTTGAATCAAATCACTTTTGGAAGAAAACTTTAAGATGTTACCACCGAAAAAATAAAACTGGCAAAATGCTCTGGAGGGCATCTTAGCAATATGCATCAAAAATTTAAAAAATATATGAAGACTGTTGACCCAGAAATCTCACCTCTAGGAATGTATCTAAAGGAATTACTCAAAGATCTACACAAAGATTTAGAAGCAAGAATGTTTACCATGGCATTATTTATAATTGTGAAAGACTGGTAACCTTGTCTGACAATAGAGAGTTGATTAAATAAATGACAGTACATTCCTAGACTTAAATACTATGCAGTTTAAGAAATCATATTTTAGATACCACTTAATTACATGAAGAAATGTTTTTGGAATACTGTTAAGTGAAAAGGCATATAACCAACAATATATGTACAGGAAAATATATTGTTTAAGTAAATATTGCTAAGTTAAATATTGTTAACTTAAATATTGTTTAAGAAGTGATAGTTGTGTACACACAAAGTGCAAAAAGACCAGAAAACACTAGAAGTGCTTGTTTCTGGGTAGAGAAATTATAAATAATTTTTGTTTATTTGAACTTTTCCATAATAAAAGCACATTTATTTCATAGTAAAATATTACTTAAAATATTCATCTATACCAACCTTCCTTCTCTAAAGGCCTAAAAGTGACCCTCTGTAGGCACTCTTTTGTCTCTAGAAGTCTTCCTTCTCCTGTTTTTATAGATGTATGTGTTGCATTCTAAAATCTTAAGTATTTGGGACTATGTAGTTATAAAAGATACCCTACCAATTAAACAAATAAAAAATCTTATTAAATCTGTGGTTTTAATCTTAGGTTCCTGCTTAGAAAAAATACCAATTTCTCTTTAAGTCCTATATTTTGCTTTCAATTCAGCCTCCATAGTATTAATTAGTTATATTATTTAGGCCTGCAGCAGAACAGTTTCATAGTTCTTCTCATTCTCACAGTTCTTTGTAAGAGACACCACCCCTCTCATGGTTCTTACTCACCCCTACACCCACAATTGACCATAGGTAATTGTGCAAGAGACCACAAATAGAAAGAAAATGAAGGAAGCCTTAAAAGGCCAAGGTAGTTCCAAGTTATAAAACAGAGAAAGGCTGAAAATTTAGGCAGAGATGTGGAGAAAATCCGAGCCATGACACTTAAGAATGAACTGGAGTAAAGATCCATGAGCACCTGGTGCAGGGAGAGACAACTCTACCTATCAATCCAGTACATGCTACTCACACAGGACTATTAATTCTAGTAAATAACCACAGCTTTAGGAGGGGCAAATGTTCTGGAATAGGCTGCCTGTTGAAAATACAAGTGCTAGGGCCTTTCCATAACCTATAATCAGGACTTCCAGAAGTAATATCCAGGCATCTTCATTGAAAGCTCCAAATGTGATTCTGAATTATACTAGAGGTGAGAACCAATGGGCTACTGGGGAAGTTCAAATCCCTTAGCTCTAGCCAACTTTTATAAATTCATCTCCCTTAACTTCACAAACATATACACTCTGCTGATGCTAGACCGGTGTCCTTGTTCTCCATCCTTGCTCCGTCATAAAGAGAAAGCTAGTTTATGTCTTTGTACAATCTACTTATGACTTTATATCTTGAATGCCCTGACTGCTCCTTACTACCTGTTTAAATCTTCACTAATTCCAACAATGGGTTAGAGTTTCACCTTCCTATGAATTCACATTGATTTTTCCTACACATTAAACTACAGAATCTGTGTCTTCCCCTATTTCTACTCTTACATCAATATGAAACAATAATTTGTTTGTCTTACAACTCAATATGATCATAAACCATATGTGCCCTTAGAAAGTGTTCACATGGTTTTGTTGGTACCTCTTTGCAATGTATATCAGGGAATTTTAAAAAATAGCAGACTGAATTGAGACCAGTACTTGCATGTTCATCATCATATAATATGGGACATGTATATTTACCTCCAAACATTCTCAGAGTTCATTCTTCGTACCCTGTAGGCTTATGCTGTAAAGAAAATACATATGCAGAAATAAAAACAGAGTTTGAATCTCCAGTCCTAATCCTTCCTCTGAACTCCTGTCTCATGTATCCAACTGCCTACTACATCTCTTTATTTGGAAAAGAATTTCAAATTCAACATTCTCCAATACTAACTCATAATCATCTCTTTCCCAAATCTGCTCATTTCTCCATATCCCCTATAGCTCCCAACTCCATGGGATATTGCCATTTATCCAGTGGCTGGGGTGAAATGCCTGAAATTCATCACACCTGATGTCTCTCTCATGTAAAACCACATTGAGACCCTCAGCAACTTTTGTCAGCCCTACCTTCAAGTTATGCAGAGTTGAACCACTTTTCATCCCCTCCCCACTGCCATTGCCCTTTGCATAACTGGGCTACTATGATAACTACTACATGCTCTTCCTGTATCACCCTGACCCTGTAGACTGTTCTCCACAGTGTAGCCCTGGAACTCTTTTAATATGTAAATGAGATCATACATGCTTAAAAAAATCCTCTATAGCTTTCTGTCAGTCTTTATCATGGCCTGTGTGAGCTGGTCCCTACTTATCTACATGATCATTCTTACTTTGGTCCACTTGAGCCACACATTTCTTCTTGCTCTTCCTGGAAAATTTCAAGTTGTTCCTACTCCAAAGTCTTTACAATATCCATCCCCTTTCCCTAAAATGTTCTTCCTGCTGGTCACCACATGCTTAGGTTCTTCTAATAATTTAAATATTTGCTCAAATATCTTCCACTCGGTGAGACCTTTCCTACTTACCCTATTTCAAATAGCACTTTCTAAATTATATATCCCTATTTTCTACCTCCTTATTATGCATTATTTTCTTCCTAGATCTGATCATTATTTAAAATGATTTTTTTTTGTTTACATAATTATTGGCTGTCTCTCCTTCCACTATAAAATAAGTTTCATAGGAAACTTTGTTTAATTTCTCACTATATTCCCAGTAATTAGAACAATGTCTGAAACATTATAGGTACTTGATAGCTATTAAATGACTGAATGAATAAGTAGATGAATAAAGTGTTCCAGTACTTATAAATCTCATCCCAGTCACATAAACTTTAAATAGGAAATCTTTATTCTGCATGGTGCAGCGGCTTCTCTGGATTGTCCCAGAGGCCTCTATTCTTTCCATCTGACTGCACAGGCCAGTCTGGGAAACCACCTACATGCAATAGCTCACATGTCTTATAATAAACTTCTTGGGAGGAGTAAGTCAAATTAGATAGTTAACTAAAAATAGTATCTCTGAGTTTATAAAGGAGACGTTTTCCCAGCCCAACTGGTCCTGGTAAGTTAGACTGGCATCAAATGCTGACATGGCAATCTTATGCTTGATGAACCCTCAATCTGGAGAGGAGTGAGCTATACTTTTATACTATTTATTTTGTGAAAGTTCCAAGTATAGTTCATCTTTGTATCCACAATGTCAAGAACATTGCTGAGCAGAGAGTAGAGCTTCAATAAATGTTTATTAAACAGATGAACAAACTAATCCATGAAGCAAACAACATTCTAAGTGCTATTCTTCTATGTCTAAGCTTTGACGATGCGCTATATAAAATTCATTCTTGCAATTTTCCTTCATAGATTAGACTGAAAAACTCATCGTGAAGGACCATGTCTTATCCATCTTGTATCCCAAGTTCTTAGTACAGTGCTGGATGTAAAAGGAAGAAAAACTCCAAAGCAAAGGATAGAGAAGTTAGAAGTCCTGGCAGCGATCAGTGAGTATTAAAGAATGCCAGTATGACGTGATTATCAGATGTTAGGTGATGAAAATCATGCCAGCTAACATATGGATTTCTACCCTGTTTCTGTATAAGACTTGAGCTCTAAATTTAGTTCCTGAACACAGGGGATCAGAGTTGAAGGTGATTATTTACTATGAAACTGCTATTTTCCACAGTATACATGATCAAAGTGCTAGAAACTTAATGCATGAAAATCTACACTTCTTTACTCAACCTCTCTTACAGTTATATAAAATTCTTTAGAAAATTAATGTTATAAAAAAGAGTTCAGGCCGGGCGCGGTGGCTCACACCTGTAATCCCAGCACTTTGGGAGGCTGAGGCGGGCTGATCACCTGAGGTCGGGAGTTTGAGACCAGTCTGACCAACACAGAGAAACCTCATCTCTACTAAAAATTAAAAAAAATTAGCCGGGTGTGGTGGCGCATGCCTGTAATCCCAGCTACTCGGGAAGCTGAGGCAGGAGAATCCCTTGAACCCGGGAGGCGGAGGTTGTGGTGAGCCGAGATCGTGCCATTGCACTCCAGCCTGAGCAACAAGAGTGAAACTCCATCTCGAAAAAAAAAAAAAAAAAGAGTTCAGTTTGTTCACTAAAGGGCTCAATTTGTTCACTACATAAAAGGATATAGCAGTTTGTTCACGAAATCAAAGCCTTTTCAAATATAATAAGCAATAGAAGAGGTGACAAAATATATAATGTAACTATTAAATCAGTATGCCTTACAAGTATCCATCATGGTTATAGTACTAATTGCCTTGGTTTGTCCAAGACTGAGGAGGGATGTGAGCTTTTCCGTGTTCAAACAGAGAAAGCTCCAGGCTAGTCAGGACAAGTTGGTCACCCTAATAATGGTATAACCTGCTAAGCTGGTTATCAGCTATTCCGATGTATCTATATGTAGGATCTATAGGTACATGTAGAATATATGATAGATAACTAGGCATTACTAGGTTATAAGATGATTAAGAATTAATCAGTCTGTACTAGTATACCATATGAAGTGCAAATCCCTTGTTTCATTTTCTCTTCATTTCCCCTCGATGTTGGACTTCTTATGTTTTTATATCGTATGCTTATATTGATTTTATTATAGTCAAATACATTAATTTGGGGTGTTAGGACAATTTCATTTTCTTCAGAAGAAAAGGAAAAGTGAGTAGCAGCAATGCAGATGGGTCTCAATTGACGCATGAGCTCATCTGTTTTTTACAACTCCAAGTGTGGTAATTCCCCGTAGAATTAAAATTTCCTAACACAGAAATTAAAATTTTCCTAGCTGAAAATGCCGGCTTTTTACATATCCCAAAACTGAACACATAAAGATTAAACTCCAAAAGTAAGGCAAGATCTACAGAACTATCCCAGCCCTAATTCTGCCGAGATATTTATTATAAGACAAACTGAGACAGTCCCCTGTGGTCTCCTTAAGGTCCTGATGGCCCCCTCAAAGCATCATCTGGCTTTAAGAGAACTCCAAAATAGTAATTGGTCTTTGGGCACAGAATAGCCATTGGAATCTGGATTAGAGTCTGAAAAACACTGCATTTTCCAAAGAGATTACAATGCCAGGCTTTGAACATTGAAGGGTAATATCTTCTTTCTAAGTATCTCTGGTCAGTCTCAGTAACTAGACCTACTTTTGAGGCTCCATTTCTTTTATGTCTTTTAAATTTAATGATAAAAAAGAAATATCTAAATTTATAATATACACGAAACAGTGAAATTAGGAGAAAAAATTCTATTTGATGTGTCCATTTTTTTAAGCTCCCATGACTAAAAAGATCAACAGTTACCTACATTTGTAATATTTATGCCTCCCAGGCTCAGTGTAATGAGTTTCATCTCTGATCGAATTTTTATAACTGACTTTCACTTACCTGTGAAATAGGTAATAGGAAGCCTTGGTAGGTGCTTTCCCTAAAGAATCAGATGCAAAAGTTAGACCTACTGCAAACAATACAGAGGAAAAAAATGTCACTCTAATATACTACTACTATATCCGTCTGCTTTTTGCAGGAAAGGAAAGCTATCATCCTAGACAGAAATACTGAAATAAGTGAAGTACAGACAAGTGATTAATCAAAATCTGAAAATCATAGTCTTCAGCTTTTTCTTCCATGAAACCATGGTGTGTCCTCTTAACTTTGGCCAAGTGCCCAGCTAAGAGAATTCTTCCATGAGATGAACATGCTTCAGGGCAAAACCTTATTCTAACTGATGGTTTTAAAAGCCCAACTCTACATTCTGCTCAAGGCTTTGGTTACGTAGGTAAGCCAAAACACAGGAGACATGACTTCCTCCATTAAACTGGCTGAAGCCCAGGTTACACTAATTGAGCCTAAATAGAAAACCTCTGCTTTTCAATCCCTTTGTTCTCTTGGATGTCACAGCTTCCTGCTCTATTCGCTTCCTTTTATAGTCTTCTCTCACCAAGCATTTCAGGAAAAAAAAAAAAAAGCTAAATAAAGATCACAGCCTGTTCCATTGTGTCCCCTTCTTCTTCATCATCTTCTTTTCCATGTGTGCAATGTTGTGGCACCTATTAACTACCAATGTTTTCAGAATGACATTATACAAGGTGCAGGCTGTACCACTGTGCCCTAAAAATATCAACAACTGCATTAGTCTCACAATAATTAATGGCAGGCATTATGCAAATGACAACTTTTTCGCTGCAAAATAATGACATTTCTTCATTTTGAGCAGAGTTATGCAAAACAATGAATTTAGGATGATAAATCACACAGGAGAATTAAGAAAGCCATAACGTTCCTGCCCAGGCAGGCAGAAAGATAGACAGACCAACAATTTAGAAGACATTGTTTTGTTCTCACACCACTATAAAAAATCATAGCCAGTCGGCCATTAATGTGTGTAGGTTTTTTTCCTTCTCCCCTTTAGGCAACAATGCATAAGGGGATGCTAAATTCTAGCAATTGGATCATTACAAGTCACAAGCAAATTTTTCTTTATTAACCTTAATAAGTCATTCACTCAGAGACTATAGTCATCAAGCAAATAAAAAGTATCACATGCCATTCTGCTACACATTAACTAATTCCTTATGCAAACATCACAACATATAGCAATTACTGCCGCTCAAAAAAACAAAGTCATTTTCAATTTATTTTATTGCTTTTATACTTGGCCATTTCCTGTAGCACATTATCGTTTCTTTCCCTAACAACCCGAGGTGGAATGAAGAAGAATTTCGGTAGCAATGAGCCCCTTCCTCTAGCCACCTTTGTCATACCTTTTTCCCCTCCGGGAGGCTTTTAAGGAAGGTTAGGGATAAGGTATGTGCACGCTCCTTCACAGGAAATGTGCATCAAGCTCAGAGAAATGGTACATTCAGCTCCTATTCTTGCAGCAAAGAGAGTGTGGGGTAGGCAGTAAGACCCAAGTCTGTCTCCCACATTTGCTACAATAACACTGACAGCTTTCCTTTATTCAGTAAAACAAGGTAAAAGTGTAGGCTTAGACCTGTCCCCAACAGGTGAACGTTAAAGTCAATATATGCAACGTTGACCTGAGAGATATAGTAATGGTTAATGAGAATTATGAGGTTACTTCGTCTTGCTTCACTCAGCACATAACTTGTCCCTTCCAGAATGCTGAATGAAGAGCAATAATAAATACTGGACACTACCCCACAACATGCACAGTATTAAATAAGATCTTTGTGTGTGTGTGTTTTTAATTCTATAACATCCTTTATCCAAGACTCCCAGGATGTGAAACAAATGCTAAACAAAGCTTACACATTGCTAACAGATTCTTTTAGCCCATTTTACAGACTGACAAATGGATTCTGAGCAACTAGAGGCTTTACACAAAGTTGGACTGGAACAGGTCAGACTATCTTTCCAATGTTCTAACCTCTGAGGCCCGTGGCCTCTTATAATCATGAGCATTCTTTCCTGCTGATAAACAATTATGCTGTAAACAGCCTGTACATGTCCCTTTTCACACAACAGGATGATAATCTCTCTCCGTTCTCCTAAATCCACAATCCATTCCCCCCTTTTTAAGGTAGAACATTTCCGAAATACACACGGGAAAAGCTCTGTTTTCAGTTTCTCCTCCTGAAGGTAATAACATTTTGCAGTTCTCCTTAAATAAAATCCAGCCCATGCTGGATCAATAAGAATGATGCCCATTTCCCTAATGGCAGCCGATTGCCATTTGCTATTCAAATCAGACTAGATAAATTACAGTACATGCCAGGGAACAGGCCAGTGAATTAAGACAGGCCTCCAGAGGACCAGCGATATTATTAATCTTTTAAGACACTATCATATTTCTTCTTGACAGTGTGCGTAGACTCACAGACACACTGCACCCAGATTGAAATATCAGCTGCTGAAAAAAATCAATAGTGTTAGAAACACAATAATTTTTGGTCTGCAGGGTCTACACTAAGCAACACTTGTACCCCTCCTGTGCCATCTCTTCTCCCACTTCCCCTTTGCCATATTTGCCTCCTACCTTTTTGCTCTTCCCTTTTCATTCTCTGGTTTTAAAAGCTTGTAAGTCCAAATGACAAGATATTATGAGAAGGTTTCCACTGCTAACACTGGCCATTGTGGTTACAGCGTTGATTTTTCATGGGTTGTTTGAAATGCAATTTTACTAGTCTGGCAAAATGTTTTGGCGTGGGATTGTTTTTCCTATGAACTTAATATAGATTTTCAACCCTTATGCACTTGGTTCTGTATTATGAAGAAATGAAAATATTTATAGGGGTGGCCATACCTGAAAGTTCTGAGGAAAGTGGAATGCACAGAAGGGAAAATAATGGAAACCTGGCCCAGAAATGAAAAAAAGTGGGGGGTATTCATTGAAGATCCAGGAGAATAAACAAAACAAAACAAAACAAAACAAAAGGCTACAGGGGAGGTGTATGTAGAGCAGAACATGGTAGGAAGAATATTCTACTTAGATTCTGAAAACTTGAAGTTGACCTCTGCCTCTGCTGCCTGCACACTGTGTGGTTTTGCCAGTTACTTACCCTTGCAGAGCCTTGGTTTCCTTTTCCATTAAAACAAAACAATCTAACCACCTACCTCATAGCATTCTTGTGAGGGCTAACTAACAAGATGTGTGTGTTTTCTAAATAATAAAATTGTGAATGATATAAACTAATTTCTACTAGAGAGAGGTTTATGAAATGTGTCTGCTTTTTTCCTTTTTCATAGATACAGAATACCATAAAGGAACTTTAGACGTTATCAATAAATAAGCAAACTGATAGCCACAGAAAGGTTATTGAGGTTCACATTACCAGTAGCTAGTAGAACTTTAAGTAGACCAAGATCTGTTGAATCTGAGCCAGTCCCTTTTACATTTTACCAGATGGATTTTACCTTTTCCATGTCTCTTTCTACTAGAGATTTGAGGCTTTGATTCTTGTCCATGTTGCTTTTCCACTGGGGAGGCAGATAAACAAAATGCCACATAAGAAAACAAAAACAGAAACAAAACCTACCATGTTTGTGTATATTTATATGCTATTCTTTTGATCCCAAGACTCCCTCCAGTTCACCCCCCATTTTGATTCTTCCTTTCATAACAAAATGTATTAGAAAAATTGTCCGTATTAGTTATTACCGTATCTTCACTTTCTATTCTTTTCTTAATCTATTCCAATCAGGCTTTTATCCGTTCCACTCTACCATATCTACTGTTGCCAAATGCAATGGTCACATTTTAATTTTCATCTGACTCAACTTCTTGCAACAATTTAACACGGATAACCGCTTCTTTTCCTCCTCGAAACTGTAATATCTTTTGGGATACCCCTCTTTTCAACTTTCTCTACTATCTTACAGGGCACTTAAGCCTATTTAAGCCTCATCAAATTTGAAATCTGTTACTAGCAATTCATTCTTATTTCTGAATTGGGATAAACACAGTATATTTGGAAAAACAGTGGACTGTCAGATGTTTTGATGGTCTGATTTTATGACTTTGATATACAAAAAAGAGTAGAAAATCTTATTCTTGGTTTGGCTTGAAGCTTTTTTATTCCACATACCTCATGGCAAAATTTATGAACTACTTTTGAAAATTCATAAGTGATCATTTACCTAGATCCACTTAATTGCTCCACCCAGTTTCTTCAAACACTTGTTCTTTGAGGTCTACATGGCAAGAAGTAAATACGAAAACCATTTCCAAGTGAACTAAAGTAACCTGAATATGTTTTCTGTGTTAGGTTGTTCCCCCTACCCACAGCAAAAGCATGAAGACTTCCTTTAAGAATACAAGATATATTCTAAGTCTACCAGTACTCCATCTTCTGATGTCAGATGGAGTTAAAGTTCACTTTCATCTCAAGAGAAAAAACAGTCATTCCTGACTTACAAACATGAGTGGAGGGAAGTACCTGAACACAGGGATTGCTTTCCTCACATCTGGCTCTAAGATACAACCACGCGCTGTGACATATAAAAAGGTCACTGACACGAGAAAATATCGCAAGATATTACAAGGATAATCAAAGCCAAAATATATCCAAACCCACTTTTGGAGAGAATCCCAATAACTTCTTTTGAATGTGATAATAAAAATAACATGAATAAAGATCATTTTCTTAAGAAAAAAAAGGAACGTTTCTATCACTTGCCTGCCACTTGCCACTTAGGAGTAGACTCTGGCTCCCTTTTCCGCTTAAATTCTTCCACAGAGTCAGCTTGCCAGACTCTTAACCAAGGTTTTTCTTTTATCTAGACTATAACAAATACTCCATTTTGGGTCATGAGAACATAGTAGCAAAATTCCCAGAGTTAATACTTTAATTATACACATATGTATTTATTATTTTGTATGTGTGTGAGCTGTTCCACTAAGTTAAACTTTAACCATATTAATCCAGGAAAAAAATCCCTGATTATCAACTAACAATTTTGTAAACAGTTATCTCACAGGTTAAATATTAACTCGAAAAATTTAACTCAAAACTCCACACAAGCAGAAGGAGCCAAAAGGCCAGGAAGAAGAAGTAAAGATTAGCTGCTTTAGGAGGAACACAGCCAGGAAAGTGAGCATTTTGGTAGCTGGATAATGTGTAGGAAGTCCAGGGGGTTGTGCAGGGGGGGGAAATAGAAGCAAGAAGGGAGCCTGGAGGACACCTGCTGCTTATCATAATATCAAAACATAAAACAATGAGGTGAGACCTTAAGGAAAAGAAAATTCATGGAGATATGAATCCATTGATAATGGCCACAGGAATTCAGGTGCAATAAAGGTTTGAACCTCAATGATATGGACATAGCTAAAAGATCCAACACAAAGCTAGCTGGAGCGGACTGCCTGCCTGCCACTGAATATCATGAGGAACATTCTGGGGTCCCTCTTCCACTAGAAATAATGGGATGAAGGCTGCTCTGCCTGTCCTGTTTCTGTTTCCTAACAATAAAACAAAACTGAAGTGTCTCCCTCCAGTATTGGGTTATTAGGGGCACCGATTGCAAGTTCTAAGCCTTTATCTAACTGTCCATCAATTCTCTCCCTGATTAACAGAACCATATCACGTAAGAAAAAGTTGGAACCAGCAGTAGACTAAGTCAGAAGGCTTTTCTGTACCGGAATTGCTGAACTACAAATATTGTTCTCTGGTTAGGATTTTGACTAAAAAATGTCAAGAAAATCCACATGGCCAGAGAATTCGCACAATCTTGATATCTGAGGTACAGGGTAAAGCTGATGTATTTTAATGCTGTTTTAGGAAGGTTAGAAACTGTTAAGATTCTTCCTGTCAGTATGTCAAATATCAGATCAGTCCTGCTTGCTGATTTTTAAGGAAGTCATTAAAAAAATCCTCCCAGTGAGTAGCTTTCAAGGAAGACTCCCATTTGCCCGGCAGATCTAAAGAAATAATGAGGCCAAATAATGCAAGTTTCTCAAGAGAGGTGTAGGATTGAATGAAAAAAGGGAAGATATAGAAATGTAGGAGAAATAATTCTTACATATATAATATATATAATGTATATATGTATATATTGTGTATAATATGTATATATTGTTTATATTCAAGAAATATGATATAGCTTATCATATATTACTTTTGATATTTTTCTTATACATCTAGTACATGAATACATGCTTATTGGAAAAGTACAAGTACAAGGTGTAGTCTCTATTATCTAAATATATTATTTAAATATATATCTAAATATATTATCTAAATATAGATGACACCTCGTACTTGTAAAGCTTTTTGCAGTTTATAAAATATTTTTGCATAAAATATCTTTTGCTTTCCTGACAACCACAAAAAGTAAAAAGGGTGGGTTCTATAATTTCTGTTCTATAGACATGCAAGTATTACTCTACCATTGACGTAACTGGTGCAGAATAAACCTGAACAGAGGAAATAGAATCCATTAGTAGCCTGGTTATCCATATCCACATGCCAAGTAAGAAAGCAGCATGATGACTGTGGAAATGTAAAGGCATTATAAGAGTGATTTTTGGAGAGGATTAAGGAGGGAGACATCAAAATAATTCAAAAGGAAGTTTAGAAAATCAGTAGAAATAAAGGGCTAAATTTGGAGTAACTTTTTTGGAAAAAAAGTGTTTAGAACAAGGAAAGAAACTTCCAATTCAGACCATGTATTCATTTGGCATATACTAATTGTATATCTATGTTTGATTTTCTTTGATAGATGCTATTGGGTAAATAATGATGTGTATGGAGACACTGACCTGTGCCTGACATATTTAATATCTATTTGTTGGGATAATGCCCAGAAGGAATTATTATGCAATAAAATTCAGATATTCAGAATAGGGGTTTAGAGAGAAAATCATCACTGATATGTAGGCTGACAAAGGAAAGCTTCAGTATGATGAACAAATCTAGTTATACTTTGAAAAACATGTAAGATTTGGGAGGTGATAAGACATTTCAAGTTGTGTGAAGGGCATGAGAGAAAGCATGGAAGCAGAAAATTGAGATATGTATTTGGGAGCAGCAAATAAACAAGTTAGTTGGAATTGTAATAGGAAACAATGCTGGAAAGATGGGTTGAGTGTGGAATGCGAAACGGGGTCCTTGAATAATGGGCTGAGTAGTCCACTTTATTCTGTGAACACAAGAGGTCTATTAAAGGCTTGTAAAGTAGGACACTGGCATGGTCACAGTGATATTCTAGTATAAATAATTGGGAATGGTGGACAGAAAAAACTGAAACAGGGAGAGCATAAAGGTAATGAGAGAGAAAGAGAGAGAGTGCGAGCTTGTGAGAGCAAGAGAATGAGAAGTGATCCACTGCAACAACCCAGGTACTATGTGATAAATATCTGACTTCGGTAGTGTCAGCAGAAATGTACAGGAAATAACATGTTCTAGAGACATTGTGGAGGAAAAAATAACAATATTTACTAAAGTTCTACTCTGTGCCAGGCACCGAACTATGTGCTTTATGTAGATTAACCCATTAATCTCCATGCTAACCCTAAGAGGTAAGTAACTTTATTGTTTCCATTTTACAGATAAGGATTAAGCAACTTTTTCAAGGTTATGCAGTTAGTAAGTGGTGAAGCCTGGATTCAAACCCAGGCAATCTGACTCCAGAGCCTGTTCTCCTAACCCCCACACTTACTGTTTTTCCTAGGTACAAGGGATCTTTTGGTGGATTATATATGACAAGATTTGATATAATTTGATGACTGACTACATATGAGCAATAAATTCGTGGGATTCTTGGGATTCTCAATTCTGAGATTTTTGGGTTATATTATGAATAAAAAGAAGGAAATAAAGAAGATCTTCTTGACTTCACATTGTACATTTGTTCCTAATGGTCCAATTGCTTTTTGGACTTAAAGTATCAATTTACAATAAAAGCCACAGAAGCAACTGAACCACCAAACCGGAAAGCTCTTTGAAAATGATTCTTCTTTCTAGTTTCACTAATGTATATCTGGAGTATAGCACAGTTCTTCGCATATAGGGGATGCCCAACAATAACATGATGAATGAGTCAACTGGAGAAGTATTAATTGTAATAAGTGAGAATAAGGGAGTGGAGGGTGTAAAAGTCAAAAGAGTATGACCCAGAGTCAGACAAATATTGGTTCATATCCTGGCTCAGGGCCCTTTCTAACTACATGACATACAGAAAGTTACTTTAAACATTTTGTGTAATATGGGGTAATAATTCATAGGAAAGCTAGCTACCTTACTGGATTCAGTGGTTTTATATAAAGGCAATGGGTGTATGCAAACCTAGTAAGGAATGCTCCCAAAGGCTGTTACCTCTGACAGAAGAAAATCTGCAACCCCTTTCTCTTTGTTTAACTTACAAAACCACATGAAGACCTAAGAAAAAAAATCTGCCAAATAAATTCCAGTTACAAAAGGAAAATAAATTATTTTGAAAGTAAAAACTATAATTTCAACTGAAGAAGAGATTTTAATTGCAGGGAGATAGATCAGTTGAATGGTTTAACTTGGACTTGAGAAATCAGTAGCAGCCAGTGGGATACATATTAAAGAAAAAAACAAGTTTAATTACCCTTAAGATTTTATACAGCTTGGCTCTTCCCTCCCACACCTAGTCTGCTTCCATCAGGTCAGACTCCTTTTCAATCACACTCTCTTCCATCCTTTTCTCAGTTGCTGTCATGACAAGCCAATGAGAGAATGACATACCGATGAAAACAAGGTTTGAGTAATTACTGCACTGTGGCTGGTTGTTGTCTGGGCATCATTTTATTTCTTCCAATCAAACAGGTCCTTGGACTTCACAGCTCTGTTTCAGGTGGGGGTGATGCTGATTATATTATGACATTATAGCAAAGACAGGCAGATCAGATGAAGTGAATTTCACTCAGTAATTAAACTGCAGTTTCTTTCGTCTAAAGTCCAGGGCAGGATTAATCGAAACGTAGCTCTTTATCATTCCTATTAATGCTGGGATTTGAAGAGTGAGCTCTGATTTGATAGCTAGCCCTGAATCTGGCTGACTGGTGTCCCCAAATCTGTCTAACTTGCAAAAATAATATCAGATCAAGATACATTTGCAAGGTTATACCCTTCCCTTTTATTTTACTTTTTTTTTTGATAAGGAAATGCAAATAGATTCAAATATGCTGCCATTTCCACTACCTTGTTTTCTATTACAAAAATGTCTGTGAAAAAAATCAGGTCCTTCCAAACCCCACAGCATTTTACAAATGGTTTTCCATAATTCCACTTAACACCATGCTCTAATGGCTTCTAATTTTGTGACTTTTCATTATCTGAGACTCAATATGAATATTTGGATGGCCCAAGCGACAGCTTTTCAGAGGCTCAAAGGTTCTACTTTTATTTTAAAGGACTCATTCTGGGACTTATATAGAGATTTTGTTTCATTCAATCACTCTTGTAATGCATATGATATCACCAAATTCTTTAACAAGTATGAGTTGGATCACTGATTCTCAATCCTGGGTGTCCATAGAAGGACCTGTGAAGCTCTGTAAAAAATCAGCCTCCAGCCTCCACTCCAGGCCACACTCACAGATCGGAATCTCTAGGTTTTAGACACAAGATTTTATATATTCTTGAACTCCATAAGTGATTTGAATGTGCAGCTAGAGTTGAGGACCAGAGTCAGCCACACAGTGTATTAGCTGTATTTGCAAAATATTTATTAAAACAAGCCATTGTTCAGAGAAATTAGCCTCACATTATTGTGAGAGATCTCTCAATAAAATAATAAAAAGCTTATTCCAGTAGCCTTTGCATAGAAAAAGATATACTTGGGTTTCTTTCCTTCTTTTCTTTTTTTTTTCTTAGACGGAGTCTCACTCTTTTGCCCAGGCAGGACTGCAGTGGCGCTATCTTGGCTCACTACAAGCTCCGCCTCCCGGGTTCACGCCATTCTCCTTCCTCAGCCTCCCGAGTAGCTGGGACTACAGGCGCCCACCACCGAGCCCGGCTAATTTTTTTTTTTGTATTTTTAGTAGAGACGGGGTTTCACCGTGTTAGCCAGGATGGTCTCGATCTCCTGACCTCATGATCCGCCCACCTCGGCCTCCCAAAGTGCTGGGATTACAGGTGTGAGCCACCGCTCGGCCTCCCAAAGATATACTTGGGTTTCTTAAGGGAAGTAGAGGAAAAGGAAGACTGTAAAAACAGACAGGTAACTGTTGATGGGGCTTCCATTGTTCTCTCTGATAACATTGAAGGTGATGGTTTACTGATTGAGCTCATCACATGGTAACACTATAGCTACCAACCATATAATTTAAGATGACAGTTGACTAACATCATAGAATCTCAGAGTTTGGACATAAACTTGGAATTAGCTGTCATCTATTTTAACCCCTTCTCTATTCAGCTGCCTTTTTAGAAAGAGAGGCAGAATTTAGAAGACTTTATTTCAAATTCTGTTTTCAGTTCTGTTTCAGAGTTTAAGAATACACGTTCTAGGGTCAAACTGAATTCAACTACTAGTTGGGTGGCCTAGATATTTACTTCTCTAAGCCTTAATTATCCCTTCTTTAAAATGCGGCCCAGAATATGTATCTCAAAGAGCTATTTAGGTTTTATATTAATTAATTTAGATAATTAACTAGAATGCCTGGCACACAAAAGTATCAGAACTCAATAAATTAAGTCTATTGAAGGAAATTGCAATAGTCACTTTTAAGGTTGTCACTGAGACTCTATGCTTAACAACTATCAGTTTGGTGACTCACAGATCAGTTTTCTGGAAGATTTGATTTGCCAAAGAAAAAGAGAGTGAGTCCAAATAGGAATGGCTTTCACATTTAATTGAGCCATAAAATAAAATACATTTTATTAAATAAATTTTATAAAATACAATTTTATTTTAATGATCACCTGGAAATGATCATTAAAAATGCAAATTTCTGGGCTCCAATCCCAGAGATTCTGATTCAGTTTGTAGGAGTGGAGTCTAGGAACCATCCAGGTGATTCTGACTCAGGGTCAAGGGTCTTCACTTTAATAAAGACAGTTATAAAGGAATATAAATTAGCCAAGCATTTATCCCCCAAATAACTACAGTGTGGCTTGACCTGGAAGAGACCATGCTTTCTATTCCTTAAGTCAGAATTCAGTTAGATGAGTTTAAACCATGTGCAAATACAAAATGTTTATAGAGTATATTTATGCACACAGAGTTAAAAAATCTATTTCTCTTCAATTAAATATGCCTTCTCAACAATTATCATTTAGCCACTAACATTATCTTCATCTCTTTTCATCACTACTGGGTACATGTAAGTATACAGACAAGGGTCAGATTTGCTATCGACTCATCCATTTTCTTCTTACAAAATAATAAACAGGTTTCATAAAATTGGTAAATTCCTTGAATAAACAAAAGCAGCTATTTCCTCCTCTAAATGCATTGTAGAATAAAGTATTTTCAAAACGCATTAATCGAAATTGATAATGAAAGTCAATATATAATTGTGAGTTGAATATTTTAAATGCAATTGATTACTTCGCTAAAATGAATATACTCAACTTACACATGGAGACTGTTCTGGATCTAAGGAGAAATTTAAACATTTTCATTCCCAATCAGCGAAATCCCAGAAATGTGTTTAGAGTTTCTAATACAATATACCAACAAATGTGCATTAACTCTCTATATTCTAAAAGTTATTGTGTAACAAATAACAGGAGAATTATGGTCTCTAATTGCAGTTGAACATAAAATTGAGCTGGGGAGAAAATAAGGCATCAACATGAGAAAAGTTTTTCAGCATTATACAACAATATAGGCTAGTGGCCAAGTGTAAGGCTGAAGGAGAATCTTTTTAGTACATACTGTGTGAGGCAGGGTAAGCTACCGAAGATCTGCAAAAGTCAGGCACAGTAACTCACTGAGGGGGTTGTGGTGACCACAGTGGGTACTGAATAAATGTAACCTATTATTTATTATAATAGTTGACAGTTTATTTTAGTAACACAAGATATATCACAGATAAGACTATGTAACCGGTAAAAGGTGAATGGTACAGGCACTGAGAGTTACAGGGAGCCAAAACTGAGAGAATGCTGGCATGACTGGTAAGGGTTTTGTGAGGAAGAGACATTTGAATGGATAATGCAGGAGAGAGAGGATTTGGCTAGACAGAGGAACAAAGATCATTTTAGACAGGGTGGGGTGTTTTGATATGAATCGCAGGTCAAAGTTAAAAAGTGTTTAACGACTGTTAAAAAAAACAGTTTAGGATGAAGCCATAAAGATAAATTTGAAGTAGAACAACAGAGGGTTCTGGATTCCAAAAATCACTTGTAGTTTCTGGTAGAATTTTTAATTGTCAAAATATTTTCTCAGTGGAATTCAATATCTCTTTAGATCAGTGGTTCTCAAATTTTAGTATGCATCAGAATTACCTGAAGTGCTTGTTCAAATACAAATTGCTGTGTTCCACCTCAAAGTTTCTTATTCAGTAGGGGAAAGTGAGGCCTAAGAATCTGCATTTCTAACATATTCCTAGGTAATGCTAATGCTGCTGGTCACTTGGAGAACCACTGCTTTAGAAGACAGTGAGATAGGCCGGGCGCGGTGGCTCATGCCTGTAATCCCAGCACTTTGGGAGGCCAAGGTGGGCGGATCACGAGGTCAGGAAATCATGATCATCCTGGCTAACATGGTGAAACCCCGTCTCTACTAAAAATACAAAAATTTAGCCAGGCATGGTGGCAGGCACCTGTAGTCCCCGCTGCTCAGGAGGCTGAGGCAGGATAATTGCTTGAACCTGGGAGGCAGAGGTTATAGTGAGCCGAGATTGTGCCACTGCACTCCAGCCTGGGCAAGAGAGAGAGACTCCATCACAAAAAAAAAAAAAAAAAAAAAAAAAAAAGTCAGTGAGATAAGAGAAGAGTTGGATGAAGAGTTTCATGGATAAGAAAGAGTTGGACGACTATTTCCTAAAGTCACCATATAATGGAATAGCCCTCTTTATTTCCTATAAAATTTCACCCTCCCTTTCATACCAACACATAGAGAAACCTACATGAAGATTACCTAGGGATCAAAATTCTTCTTTGGCTTTCTAATCCCTCTATTGGGTTCAGGTCCTTAACTGTGGGAATGAAGAGGCCCATGATCAAAAGGAGCCCAGGCCCACCAACCTGGAAACTTGAAGACAACTTAATCACTATTAAGGATATTCAAGAATTCAAAATAACAGACCCAAGAGACTAAAGAAAGAAGGTGGAATTTTTATTCCAAAAAGCCTCTGTCAGTTTCATGTTGAACATTTTGTACTTGGGCTGCACTTAACTGCCTGCCCCTTAATCCACAAACTAATATCATCTCACCTTGGTTCACCTTTTTCTTTTCTTCAAAAGGCAGTCAGAAGCAAGCAGGGGCAATGAGAACTTTCTACCTAGGCATGGGCCACTGTTTAAGCATCTCCACCTTCTGCTTCAAAATCTTTCTCCAAAACAAACTTCCACTATGTGGTAACTATACTGTAAGAAATCATTTAAAAGGCAGAAAGAGGAAATGAAATGCTCTGAGAGACTATTTTCTCATGCATAACTTCGAGGGCAGTATCTCACAAGTCAGTACTTTATTTTTGATGGCAGACAAAAAACATGTTGTGTTTGAAGATTCATGTAGAAATCTTTGTGAAAAAAGGTCAAAATTGGATTTAAAATGTTCAAAACTCCAAAAATCTCTAAAGAACAGGAGCTTGTTTATTTTCTAGCAATTTATCTTTCCTTAAAATAAGAAGCTATATAATTACAAAGTATAATTAATAATAATAACAATAATTACCACAAATACAACAGAAATAATGATAGTAAGCACCATGGGCCCAGATCCCCATAGTTACAAAGGATAAGAATTTGTCTCAGTATATTTGAGAACAGACAGCAGCCCAATAATACAGGAAAAAAAAATTGGAAAGGAAATAATCTTTCTTGTGCTCCCTGGAAAATACCACAGAAAAATAGACAATCAAATTTAATACCTGTTGTTAAATATCTTCATTGTACAGATTAGGTCAGGCAATTTAAATAGACAACAACATGAGGCCTCTAATGTCTCTTAGGAAACAGTTTCAATGTAAATTCCTAGGAGGTCCCAATTCAATTTCTAGTTAAGCATCCCCATCCACTCGTAACACTCATAAGAAGGAGAAATGCATTTGTATGGTGTTTTACAGTTTATAAATTATTCTCACAAACGTGTTATTTGATTGTCTCAAAAATCCTGTGGGGTAGGTAAGTAGAGAAAGTATTAATAGTATACCCATTAGAAGGTGAAAGAATTAAGGATCAGAGAAAAAGGACATAAATTAATCTTTATTAAATATCCACATTGGGTCAAACTGTGCAGACCTGGAAAGAAGTCCAAATAAAGTTTTACATAACATGGATAGGCTTGGAGAATTTGTTAACTGCCCAAAGTAAAAAAATGGAAGAGCTAGAACTTGAATGCAGATAATGCAGCTCAAGATGTAATGGTCTTTCCATCAGACCATAGACTAAACTCTCAGTTGTAACCATCGTCTAGTTACAGTAACTGCCCCTCTCAAGAGGAGGCTATTTCATTGCCAAGAAATAAAACCGTGAATAGTGGTCAGGTTTTCTGTTTTTAGTTAGACTGAAAGAAAGCACATACTCCTTGAGAAGACGTGCATCTTTTTAACATGACTTAGTCTGTCAAGAGAATAAGAGAGAGAATGTGTTATTTCATTCATGTAGAATACTGACTTTTAAAAGTCACTCAATTTCTCTAATGATCAGTGATGTTGAGCTTTTTCTCTTAGGTTTGTTGGCTGCATGTATGTCTTCTTTTGAGAAGTGTCTTTTCATGTCCTCAGGGGAGGGCAGTGTGGGGGCAGAGAGAATCAAGAAAAATAGATAATGCATGCGGAGCTTAATACCTAGGTGACAGGTTGATAGGTGCAGCAAACCACCATGGCACATGTTTACCTCTGTAACAAACCTGCACATCCTGCACATGTGCCCAAGAACTTAAAATTAAAAAAATAAAAAATAAAAAAACTGACTCCAGCTACCCATGGACACAAGAGACAACACGGTCCCATTTGTCACCAAAATAGACAACACAGTCCCATTTTTCACTAACATACTCTTTGCAAGAAAGATAAACTAAAAGACTATCCAACATTAATAGCTAGATTCTGGCATAGTCTCAGCTTAAACTATTAGTTTCTAAATAAGAGGCAATACATATGCATAGTAAAATAGAGAATAACAGCAATGGATGTATTAACAAAATGCATTTTCCATTAATTGTTATGAATTAAAAAGTCTCGAAGCTATAGATCGAGACTTTGAAACTTCTGGAACAAATTAACCTATCTCTTTTTATTTTTACTTTATGCATGCATTTACTTGTGTAGTTGGTGTTGCTATGTTTTCTTAAATTTGTTTTTAAGATAATTATATTCTCCCTCTACTTTTATACATATATCTTCTGAGGCATTTAAAGGTTTGACAAAGCAGTGTCTTCTCACAAGAGACAGAGGTTTCACTTAGAAGCCATCTTGGGAATTTGGGCTGCAGAAATCAAGGGAGGTCTAGTACGTAAGTAAATATTAGTGCAATAATATTAAATTTTTGAATACTAAAGGAAAACATTTATTGAAAGAAAATTGCTTTATATCCTTAACAACTACCTTGCTATCGAGGATTTTTAGAGAATTGCAGAATTTCAGAGTTGATGCTATATGTAGGATTTTCTTTTCTTTTAATTTTTTTTTTAGAGACAGGGTTTCACTCTGTCACCCAAGCTGGAGTGCGGTGGCATGACCATAGCTCACTACAGCCTCAAACTCCTGGGCTCAAACAATCCTCCCATCTTAGCCTCATGAGTAGCTGGGATCACACATCCGGCTAATTTTTTTTTTTTTTTTTTTTTTGTATAGACAGGGTTTTGCTTGGGGGCCCAAGCTTGTCTCAAACTCCTGTCTTCAAGTGATCCTCCCTCCTTGGCCTCCCAAGGTGCTGGGATTACAGGTGTGAGCTACTGTGTCTGGCCCCAAAGATTTTATTTTTATAATGACAGAATATCAGTGTTAGCAGAGTCCATTAAAATTATATATGACAATCATCTGTTTAACCCATTTATGCCAAATGTTGCAATTTTGTGTGTGTGTGTGTGTGTATGTGTGAAAAATCAGAACTTGGTGATGACCTTGAGCAACAGGATATACATAACTGCCACAAGCTTAGCATTCCAATAGTGGAACACTAGGCATAAATGGGTTATGGCTTCAGTATCCTGCAAAATATCCCTGTAAGGTAGCTGTCTATGCTTAAACACCTTGGTCTTAGGAAACTAGGATTTGTGGATATTAGGCAATGTTATGGGCTGATTGTGTCCCCTAAAATACATAGGGTGAAGCCCTAAGCTCCTACCAACTGTATTTGGAGATAAGGCCTTTGAAGAAGTAATTAAGGTTTAATGAGGTCATAAGGTTGGCACTCTAATCCACTAGGACTGGCGTCCTTATAAGGACAGGAAGAGACATCAGAGGTTCTCTTGAGCTCACAAAGAAAAGGCTGTGTAAGGACACAGCAGCAGAAGGCTATCTGCAGCCAAAGACAGAGGCCTCAGGAAAAACCAAACCTGATGACACCTCAGTATTGGACTTCTAGCCTCCAGAGTTGTGAGAAACCAATTTCTGTTTGCTAGTCCACCCACCTTGTGGTATTTTGTTATGGTAGGCCTACAGACTGATATGGTGCCTGTATCAGTGCCTATATGGTGCCTATCTCATCACAACCTGTAAGGAAGGAATTACTTAAAGCCAATTTATAGGTATAGAAACAGACTATGGAACATTCAAGAAATGTCCCAAGAGACAAGGATTCAATAAGTGGCATAACTGAGATTTAATCTAGGTCTATCTTCCATATTATTTTTTACCCTCCTATTTTTTACCTTTGAACACAGAAGGCTGCTACAAAGTTAGTGTTTCATATTGACTTGAGTATTTTATTCTTGTAGGTTTCATCACTGGCTGATGGTCTATTTGTTGGAGTAACAGAAAGCAACATAATTTATCTTTTAGATGACTGTCATTCATATACTTGAAGATAGTTATTACATTCCTTCCTCCTGAATTTCCTGTTAATCCCGGTTCCCTTAACCATTGCTCATATCACATGTTTCAGTTCCCTACCATTCTGGCCACTTATACCTGAAGATGTTCCTATCTATTTAAATTTCTTGTACTGGGTTGGAAAGTCATATCTCTGCTACGTCATTCATGACTAGTCTTTTTAAAATATAAAGGCAATATCTTGCATTTATCCATTTAGAAAATTTCATCTGTTAGATGTAGCCCATAATTCCAGTCTTTCAATGTCTTTGGAATTCGATTACTTCATTCAACAACTTTTCTATGTATCTGGACTCATGTCATCTGCAAATCTAATGAATATGTTTTCATTCCAGTTATTGAAAAAAACTTGTGACCAAGATAAGGCCGAAAATATCCTTGCAATATGCCACAGGAATCCCCTATATTATGATATTGAGCCATTTGTTTGTACCTAATAGTGTGGTCAATCAACCAGTTACTAATCCAGCTGTACCTACATTAGTTACTAATCCAGCTGTACCTAGATTAGTAACTAACCCGGCTGTACCTAGATTAGTAACTAACCCGGCTGTACCTAGATTAGTAACTAACCCGGCTGTACCTAGATTAGTAACTAATCCGGCTGTGCCTAGATTAGTAACTAATCCGGCTGTGCCTAGATTAGTAACTAATCCGGCTGTGCCTAGTTTAGTAACTAATCCGGCTGTGCCTAGATTAGTAACTAATCCGGCTGTGCCTAGATTAGTTACTAATCCGGCTGTGCCTAGATTAGTTACTAATCTGGCTGTGCCTAGATTAGTTACTAATCTGTCTATATATCTAACCCAGGAGATATCAGATCACATATTGTAGACATCATTTTACTGAAGCCATTCTATTGTCTAGCAAGCACCACTTCTTTCAGTGGATCATGATACATTGTTTTATACTTTATTGCTTTAATAATCCATTCTAGACTGTTGCTCAGGACTAACAGCAAGTAGTTGCATCATCATAAATTGCCTTTCTATACTTTCTGTAAATCAGAAGATTTCCACATCTCTAGTTATCTAACATTGTTTCTCTTCTCCTCAAACATGGATGGTAGTAATTGACTATCTCATTGACAAATCCTCTCATGAGTATATGGTTCTCTATCCCTATTTTTAGGCTCTTCTCCTTTTCCTTTTTTTCCTGTTATCTTCCAAGGAAAGAGTCACTCATGTTTAATCATGAACGGTATGTTGGTCAGAGATAGACCTGCAAACTGGAACAACTGAGAAGATTTATACAAAGTGTTGTCCTAGAGTCCCTGACTGTGCCCGTAGAGGAAAATGTACTATGATTAGGTGAGGCTTTGCTCTCATCTCCACACAGGGCTCTGCATGGCTTTTCTATTTCACTTCTGGCAGTACTCCTGGGGAAGGCTACATCCTTTTCCTATTCATTCTGGGTGACTTCCTTTGCCAAAGATTCAAGACAGCTTTGTATTTTTCAGTCTTTAACTGAGAAAGGTTGTGATATATAATGCCTTTATTTTCCCATGAAGACTTTCTCTGAGGCATGCACATAGCCACGACCTTTACCTAATCAAGAAAAGTTGCTTGGGCAGTGGGGGATGGGGATGCAGGTTGGACTTTAAATGCACAAATCAGTTCTAATAAAAACACTGAGATTCAGGTGCCTGAGGTTAGAAATACTGGAGGGAATTCAATTACACTAATTAATATTTAAGAAGGGCTAGAGATCACACACTGAATGTGGGAAACTAGGCCAGTCAGACATGAGCATATGGGGAGGGCAAGATCAACAGATAAAAGTAACAAACAAATCATACATAAATGCTCCAACAGGAATGAAATAGAGAATATAAAATAAATGTTCCAACAGACACTGAAGAGGAGGTAAATGGTCTACCAGACATAAAAGCAAAATGTTCCAACATACACAAGACATTTTATTGGTTTAATGTAAACACATATATTATAAAAATGATTTTTCCACATAAGTTAGTAGGAAATGTTACCCATTTATAGAAACAGACTTACGGGTTCTATGAATTCACAGCATACTATATTTGCTCTCATTTCCTCACTGGCTCATCATGCAGGAGTCTCAATAAGGCTTGACTTTCATAACAGGTAGTTCTCCAATGCCTAAGCCTACCTGGATACCCAACGCCTGACAGAAGGCTGAAAAGCTGCAGAGTGTGCCTGCTTCTGCACAAGTTTTTCTAGTTCCGGTTGCTCTAATGTGATTTGGTTGGTGTCACAGCTAATACCACATTCTCTATTTGATCTGATTTTTCATCTGTGGCCCAGACAGTTGATTCTGATTTTTGGTCATTCTTTTATAGACTTGAAAGTTTTCTAGAGAAGGCACTAGTGGTGCCAGGACTATCTTGCTTCCTTCTGTCCTGTCTACACTAGCATTTAATTACACTTTTCTACCTCTTTTCTACCTCTATGCCCTCTCACCCTCCTTCATCTTGGGAGCTTCCAAAACTAGAAGCCAAGAGAATTAACTAGGTTGCTTTATAAAAATTGTATATATGTAGGGTAAACATGACATTTTGATATACATTGGATTGCTTTTGCTATCAACGGCATCATGTAGAGGTAGTAGTAGAAGCATGGAAGGGTAGAAGAAAGGACTGAGACTGATATTTGGACTCCTCTTTCAAGTTTTCTGATGTACACATAGAGTAACTAGATGGCCTGGACTGTCTATGTACAATACGGAATTTTAGGCTCCTGGAGGAAACAAACCAAAACAAAAATAAAAACAAAGTCCTTTTCCTTCAGTAGCTTTAGCTTTAGAAGAATAAATGATTCACATATACCAAAACCCACAAGATACGGTATCCCCAAAAAGTTAAATTGTCTCTTACCTAATAGAGGATCAGAAAAAGAAAAGATAGTTATTTCCTAAAAATTGTTTGAACCAAATTTGTGGTTTTCAAACTATGCTTCATGGTCCCCAGACTTACAAAGAGATGATTACAAAAAGATTATCAAATAGATATAAATAAATAAAAAAATAAATACATATATAATATGTAGTAAATACATATATATCAATTTGCAATTGTGATAAAAATGACATGCAAATTTAAATGTATTATATAAATTTAAAAAACACTGGAGACCAATGTGTTATTACAAGTTAATTATGTACAATAAGAATAAGCAGCTTTCATGCAGGCCTCTAATTAAGGCTCTCAGATTGGAATACAAGCTGTTGAAAAAAACTGTTACAATATGCAACTACTTATCAGTCTCATGATTTTTTTGATACCATATAGTATAGTACAGAAAGTCTTCACTTATTGCCATCCATAGGTTCTTGGAAACTGTGATTTTAAGTGAAACAACATATAATGAAAGCAATTTTACCATAGACTAATTGATATAAATAAGAGTTAAGTTCTTATGGCAAATTTTGGGTCACAGAAACATCATCAAGTTTCTAAATAAAGATCAAAACACTTTTGATATTAAACATTGAAATAAATGTGAGCTGTACATGCATTTAAGAAAGATTAATAAAAGCAAGAAATAAATGTGAGCTGTACATACATTTAAGAAAGATTAATAAAAGTAAGATAATTATTTAATCAATAATTCCAGTTCAGGGTCATGAGTGGATGGAGCCTATCTCAGCAGCTCAGGGACTGGTAAGGTGGGAACCAAGCCTAGACAGGATGCCATTCTATCTTAGGGGGCACTCACACACAGCCACATTCACTCAGACACACCCATGAGCCTAACACGCACATCTTTGGGATGTGGGAGAAAACCCACTACCCAGAGAAAACTTATGCAGATATGGGGAGAAAGTGCCAACTCTACACACACAGTGGCTCACTGGGAATAGTTCTTTTTTTTTTTTCCCATCAGCGTTATGACACCATGTTATTTGAGTATCTGCTATATTCCCCATACAAAAATACATTGATTTTTGAGCCAATACAATAATCCAATGCTGAGTTTTTATTCCTTTGTATATTTGCCATTATATTCTTATTGAATGACTTTATAATATTCAATATGATAAATAATCTGAATTTGAAAATGAGTTTATCTCAATAAAATATTACTCATTATTCCATATGTTAAGTTTCTAATAAGATTTAGTTTGAAAAGAGGATTCTGCTTGTTTAAAAGAAATATGAAAAATGTCTGGATCAAATAATATATATGTATCCTGCAACTCAAGGCAGTATGAATCTCATATGGCTCCAGGCTGCTCAGTTTCTGAATTTATCAACTTGCTGGCTTAGACCACTGTATACAGCAGATGCATTGGGCCCAAACTAGATTTTATATATGGGCCACTATTCCTTCAGGCTTAAGAACAGTATTTTTATACTGAGGAATAGCTTATTTATCATGAAACCATCATACATCAAAAGAAGTCACGTTGCCTTAAACTTATCCAGTACATGAAATTTATCACCCTCAAAGTTCTAGATTATCAGAATTTAATATATTAGTTTAAAATATAACCAGTTGATAACCAAGAAATAAGTCAATGGAAACCTCTTTAATTATCTAAGCAGCTCATCTTGTTTATAATAATTGTATAACTTACAGATACATACTCATTTATTTTTCAATCAAAATATATTATATTGAAAGACTTCAGAAGATTTTTTTCTTAATATTAACCAACATTACTTATAGTTAGGAACAGAGTGAGCCAAAAAGGATTCTCACCACTACAGAGAATAAAACTAGCAAACCTGGGGAAAGATCCATTTTCCAAAACCTGAACTACACTCTATGATGGTAACGTTTCAAGTATTTATAACACTTAAGTATAAGTCAAGAGTTGATTGAATGAGGCCTTTCATGATGTTTATGTAGAGTAGTCAAACCAGAATTATTTATGTATTTGTTTATTTTTAAAGGCTGTCATTTGAAAGTTATCACAGTATAAAGGTAAAGGATACACCGGAGTTTCCATTCTAGCTCCACATTCCTGGCTGTGTGACCTTGGATAATTTAGTTAAACTAAACTTCAGTTTTCACTTCTGTAAAATGAAGGAAATAGTAGAGGTTCTATTGTCATGAATTTCTAGCAAGAAATCAATGAATAAATGAAATGATGAATGAATGTTGCTTAGCATGTTGCCTGGCACATAAAAAGCTCTCAGTAAATATTAACTGTAATTAAAAAATATCTAAAAGCCGGTTGCTTTCTTTTGGTTATTTTTTTAATATGACTTGATTTTA
Organism: Homo sapiens; assembly: GCF_000001405.40. Classification (NCBI taxonomy): domain Eukaryota; kingdom Metazoa; phylum Chordata; class Mammalia; order Primates; family Hominidae; genus Homo; species Homo sapiens. Next base: position 114,736,383 of record NC_000003.12, read on the forward strand.
TTCATAACTTACTGACTATATTTTCTTCCCTTCTGGAATGATGTTCTATTGAGGTTTCTTTTTCTTTTATTCCAGAATGTTCTCTGAGCAATCTCTTCATTTCTGCCTCATTCATCAGATAGGATTGTAGGCGTTCATTTTGGTAGTTCTGCATTTGGTTTTCTGTCACTGCTTATGCTGTTTTCTTGTTCTAACTCAGTGGTTTAAAAAGTAAAATTCAAGTAAGGACTAAACATAAGAGAATTTACTGGGACTAATGGTTATCAAAATTGGGCATAAAGGGATGTTATTAAAAATAAATCACACAGAGGGAGAACAGCTGATGACAGCAGCTGTGAAATGGATGTACATGGTGGGAATCAGTGAGCCCCAAAGAAACAAACAAAAAACACTGGAGGGCCATGAAACTTACATGATTTACAAGGGAAACCCAAGCTTTATGAACAGCCTCTGAAGACTACAGAGGCCAAGCAAGTCACTTCTGGATGAAAATTTGGATAAGACAGCAATACTGAAAGGAGTTATGTTCCCTGATCAAATGGGAGCTACAGATAAGAAAAGAATGAGAAATAAAATGAAAATCTTTACCGAGTTTGATTTCTTTATTGTATAACCTGCACTGAGGGGACACCATCTCTGGGTATACCACTATAGATACACTTACCAAATGCTTAGTGATTATTGCAATAGTTAGAAGAGAATATATTTTAAGAGCCAAAGTTACAAATCTATGGACAAGATGAATTAATATTAGAACCCATGTTGAGATATATAGGGCCCAAGTAGTCTATGACACAAAAGTTTGTGTTTTTATTTAAATAGAACTCTAAAGACTTAGTTGTTTGAAATATATTTAATGTAGAGAAACATTTTTTTGAAAATTTGGTTTACTGTAAAGATGAATGGAGATGTCTAACTTTTTGCCTTTTTTTTCTAGATATGGACCCACCTCTCTATTTTCAAGAGCATTAAATTCAGTTAAAAACTAAAAACAAAAATACTGCCAAGGGATTGAGACGGTAAAGTAACATCATGCCTGATAGAATAAACTATCAAGACAGCATGAACAAACCCAACTGAAATGGAACAAGCAAGCTTAACACAAGTCAAAGAAGCTCTCTAGAGTGTTAAAATGAAAATACAACTAAACAGAACCAAAACTGCTATTCATGGGAATAGCAAATGAAGAATTTTCTTCAGAATCTACACGGATAACTTCTATGAGATTATTCAAAATGTGGAAATTTTTTTCAGAATTTTTGTTTCCAAATGGAATTTAATACATTTCATGAAACAAATGAAATTTTATCAGAAATAAAACATTTAAATTACCAAAAGCCTAGCCTCCTTAGGAAGGCTGTTTTAGGAAGACATGGGTAGAAATATTTTCATCAAAGCCCTGATCATCTTCCCTTTTTGAGGTGAAATCACTCTACTCTGCTGGAAACCTACATTTAGTTATTTATAAACCAGTATTAAATGTATATTGTTTCAAATCTCTATGTAGGAAAAATATCCCACATTCATTCCCATTTTACTATGAACTGTATAAACTTCCAAAATCATCATGAAAAGAAAAACATCACCCTTTCTGCTAATTAAGTGTTCTTGCTTTTTTTCTAGTAATGGGTATTTGAAAAATAACAATATGCAAGAGTATGATCTTACAGTGAATATAGCCACTAGGTCAATATGATAATTTAATGTGAGACTTTAAAATTGAGCTTTCCTTTTATGCTACTATTCTCTAAATAACTTCTTTATTTGCTATGATTAAAATATCTTTTCATCAAATTTGATATAAATATACTAGATATGGTAAATATATTTATCATTTAAAATAACAATTGAATTGTACAATAAGCACTATATCATTGCCCAATTTTTATTTTGATAAAATCTTTTTAAGTGATATCATTTCATGTTAGGCTTTTTGTGCTGCTTAATATTATAATTAATAATTCATATTTTTGTCTTTCTCCTCTCTGACAACTTTTATTTTTAATCGGTGGGCATGTGCCAAATTGGTTTGTTATTTATTTATAATGTAAAATGACAAGGGAATTGAATATGTGAAATAAGATAGATTTTCTTTCATATGACAAAAATTTCTTAGTAATGGGGATGCTTCTTGCTTACCCTTATAGATTCAAGGGTTTTAGAGAGGTTAGGTCAAATGTCACACTTCTCATATAACAACATGTGGTAAGTGCATTAAATAGACTGTTCATTTTTTAAAAATTCATTTTAGTTTTGTGAAGACATCTGGGCACATGCATAAAAAACAGGACAAAACAATATCAAAATTTGTAAAAGACTCCCTATTCCGATAAATCCTATAGTGTCAATTAAGTAAAAATTCTGACCAAACAGATGTATTTGTATTCTTTCCTAAAAACTAAAACAGGCAAACGTAATAGGAATAAACAGAGAACGTTTCAAAGATACAGAATTTCCATTGAAAAAATCAAATGTTCTGTCTGTAGGACTTTATAGAACATTAAATAATCTTTTCAGTACTGTCCATAACCAGAAACCACATAAGCTGGATGCTAGACTATTGACTAGTTATGACAAAAAATTCACAGTTTGATCTCAAGGGCATCAGCGATCCTGGGCTCAGGTGATCCTCCCGCCTTGGCCTCCCAAAGTGTTGGGATTACAGGTGTGAGCCATCATGCCTGGCCATCGTGCCAACGTATTGAAGTGGAAAGAACTAATGCTGAGCAGAGAATGGGCCATACCTGGGTGGTTTTAAGAGGTGCTGCTATAATGAAAAATCACAGGCTCACCCAAGAACTACCGTGGAATCAGAACCTCTAGGGATATGGCCCTAGAATCTGAATTTTAAGCCAGTTCCTGAGGTGCAATTCAGTTTGAGAACTACAGTCTTAAGGCAAAACCTTTCTATCATACCAGAGCTTCCAATTGTCAGGCCCTTTGAATCCACCCTTTGTGTCAAACCTTAGATAATTCAAGAGACATAACAAACGTGATCATGTTACATGCTTCCTCACAGATTTCAGTGTCTCCCATTTCTTCTATTAGTTTAAAAAACATAGTCCACCATCACAGGGCCCTGTTTAAGCCAGCTCCTCCTCTGTGGCTCTGCCTTTGTGGTCAACCTGTGCAAAACTTTGAGGCTGTGACATCACTTAGTCAGTCTCCAACATTTGGAACAAGAGAACTTTTTCTAACAATTTGATCCCAATTCCTATTTTAAGCTTGAGCATTATGAAGGCTGTATCTGTATATAATATTGAACACTTCAAAACAATTTTAGATCTTAATTATTTTGTTATTAAAATGTTGGGGGTGTTTAAGTTGACATTGAGTCAGATGTAGGAACTGATATACAGTGAAGTTAAATCCTTTAGGGTAAACTCATTCAGTGGTAGAGGCTGAACTACAGAGCCTAGGCATTCTGACATTCCACCACTGTGCTTATCAGCTTGCTCCTTGAGCAAACCTTTTCCTGCCTTTATGAGAATATGCCCATTTTATGGGCTCTGTATCTATGAGATATTTTACCTATGCTTATGTACACATGGTGTTTATCTTTCAAAGCTGGACTATGGAAAAGCCTAATTTTACAAACATGTTAGTAAAAGATTATGTAATCTGAGGTGATTACGTTTAAAATGGCAATGATAATGATGTTAATTCCAGTCCTGTGAGGTACTGTTTCTGATCTGGAAAGAGCAGTTTTCTTTTTTAACAGCTTATTTTGTATTTTCATAATCCATTTTAAGGTTTGGTATTAATATAGACATGAGAAATAAAATATAACTGTTGCCATGCCAAATGTATATCAAAAAGTTGCTAATAGCCATGACTGCTATTTGGTTAACTGTATTTCACTATTTAAATAAAATGATGGAAAATGGTGTGTCTAGGATCTCATTCATAATAATGAAAGACAATAGAAACTATTAGCATAGGTATGATGCTAATGAATGGTAAATTTTCAATAGAGATCCATCGACCAGATTGTTTGAAAAATGTTTCCTGTGGGTACGAAAAATGCACACAAACAAACACATGCATCAAAATGTCCATAATTAAGTTTTTAGGGAAAAATAACAATATATGTTGGTTAAGGACTTTCACTTAAATGGCATTATAGATCTTTCAGAAATGAGAGTTGATTTATACTTCAGTATTTTGGTTCCCAAAGGTTGGGACAGTGGGTGGTAGAGGAGAAGTAGAGTAAATGGAAGGTATACATGTATGTGTGTGCATATGGGCAACTTTAAGCACCTTGAATTTAATGAACAAAAAATGTCATTATTCTGTGTTTATATATTTTTGTGTGAAACAAGTACCTTTCTCTATCACTGGAGTTTACATGGATTTTCTCATGATATCTTTTGAGAATCTCTTTAAACACTAAAATACATTTTTCCAAATGAAAACTCCCATAATTCTGCTTTATTAATATCTGAATGAATATTTCCATTGATTTGTCCAGAAGAAGGAACTGAGTACTGTTTAGAGAGCAATCTTTTTCATGATAATTGGCAGCAATGTTTCCCTGCTATCAGAAAGAAAACTATAGAAATACGAAACTTTAGATAAACATGGAGATAAAAATAATATTATGGAGTCCAACTGGTATCTTTGAGGTGAGGACAGGCTGAGATGGACTCCTTGGCTTCCTTCTGTCCAAAAATTTCCTGTTTCCCTATTTCCTACGGTTACCACCATGGAACATGTTAAAATCTCAGTAGGGACTCTGTTTCAACTTTTCCTGTCAAAACACAGTGAAAAAGCTTAATGGAAAAAAATGTCCTTCCTATCTCCATGCCAGGCACAGTGTAAGATCCACAAACTTAAAAGCCAGGAAAATATTCTTTTATGTGCCCCAAAGCTGGGCAAGTGACCTAGTACTACAAAAATTCCCAAATAGGCATGTGACCTGACTAATGTGTGCTGTGAGATGAGTCAAGAAAAATGGAACCATCTGTACTTTTATTGGACAGTCAAATAATTTCTTTCTGTCCACCCAAAAACATAATTTCTATGTTAAGAGTGATACAAGGAGACTTTTAGAAAGTCTAATTTTTAAAATCAGAGATATTAAAATATATGAAAAGTATAACCTATTAAACACTGGTGGAGATAAGCAAATAGGCTTATGAAATCATTATTGCTTTAAAAATTTGTTACCTACTCATTGTGTACTAAGGCTTCTCTACGACATACAGAAGAGGCCGGTGCGGTGGCTCACGCCTGTAATCCCAGCATTTCGAGAGGCTGAGGCAGGTGGATCATGAGGTCAGGAGTTCAAGACCAGCCTGGCCAAGATGGGGAAACCCCGTCTCTACTGAAAATACAAAAAAAAAAAAAATTAGCTGGGCATGGTGGTGGGCACCTGTAATCCCAGCTACTCTGGAGGCTGAGGCAGAGAACTGCTTGAACCTTGGAGGCGGAGGTTGCAGCAAGCCAAGATTGCCCCACTGCACTCCAGCCTGGGTGACAGAGCAAGACTGTAAAAAAAAAAAAAAAGAAAAGAAAAAAAGACATACAGAAGGAAATCAGGGAAAATGGGAAAATGAAGGGAATTAACAAATTGCAATAATCTTTAAGAAGTAGAGTATGAACAATTTTCCTTTTCTAGGATGAAAGCTACCAACAACTGAACTCTTAGAGTGAGTGATGGCAGAAAAAAATAGCAATCAAGAATAGGGGCATGTTAGTTTTTAGACATGTTTACAAAACTCTGCCTTTTATTTCTTAAACCCATAGGTCAACCACCCATCATACCTACATTACCCCATATGACAAGTGGATTTGTTGTATGTTTCAAGTTTTTAATCTTGGTGGGAAGGGGGAGGGCAGAGAAGTATTTATTGGTAAAATATCATAATAAAGGTTGAGCCTGTCAATGATTGTACCTAACAATAATAAATATGTGTAGGAAGTAAGAACGGCAAAAATGAAGCCGGGTAGGATACTGTGGATATGGTGACAGACAAGTATCTATACGAAATCCTGAGATATTTGTCCTCCATTTCATAAATTAAAGTGCCCCCTCTTTTGCTTTACAGATAAGGAAACTGAGGTGCATTATAATAGCAACAGCAGCTGATGTGTAGTAGATCCATACCACAAGCCAGGTACGATGTCAAACATTTAAATGTATCATTTAATTTAATTTTCATAGATCTCCTACAAGACAAGTGCTATTATTTTCATTTTACATACGAGAAAACTAAAGCTGACAGAGATTAAATAACTTGTCCAAGGTTGCATAGTAACTAAGTGAAAGAGCCAAGATATGAACTCAGATCTGTCTGATTTCAAAACCCAGGCCCTTAAACACTAGGCCAGTGGTTTTTTAACCCTGATTGCACATTAGAAGCACCTGGCAAGCTTTTAAAACCTACTGATACTCAGACCCTACCCCAGAACAATTAAATCAGAATTTCTTGTACCTGGGCCCTGATGTGGGTGTTTGTTTCAAAGCCTTTCTGGGTGACTGTAACATATAGCTTGGGTAAAGAAGAATTGTTGGGTGTCTCCCATGGAGGTCAGTATATCTGTGCCAATATGTGAGGTAGTACAAGACTCAAGTGTCCTCAGTCTGTCTGCAGTGGTTTTTCCCTTGCCCCATCATGTTCACTTTGACATCTTTTTTTTATTATGATTTTTGGAGAAGTAATATACAAGTGACAATTTTTTTACAAAGCATTGTCACAGCAGAACATGGTCATAAGTCCATCAAAGAGAAACCTGTTCATATCTATGTACAGGCTATGATGAATGAATACAAAGAAGACTATGTTTATTACTCTCATCCCCAAAGGGAAGTATAAAGCTGGCCTTAAAAGCTGTTCATACCAAAGCTAATCACTAAAATTTGGAATGGCTTCCTCCTCTCCTTTCACAAATGCAATAGGGTAGCCACTGGATCTAAGGGGAAAAGATCCAATTACCACTCTTTACAATGCTTTTTCACTTAGGATCTCAAGACGACTGACAGTCATTCAAAACATAAAAGTAAAGTGAAAATATCTCTAGTAGAAGTGAAAAGAAAATGTCTGTAGTAGGAAGAAGGCCTAAATTTGTGTCTATACTCTGCCACTTTACTGCAATGACTTGAGGCCAAAAGTAAAGTGACAGAGTATAGACACAAATTTACTGCCATGACTTGAGCCTTGATTTCCTTTTCTATATGTACTTAAGCCATATCATCCTTAGGGCAGTGATCCAAAAAATGTGGTCCCCATCAGCATCATGTGGAAACATATCAGAAGTGAAATTATCAGTCCCTACCCTAGACTCTGAATCAGAAACTTGGTGAAGGGGCAGTAATCTGTGTCTTACCAAACATTGCAAATAATTCTGACCACCTCCAGCTGACTCTGATGTATCCACCTCCATGGGGTTGTTGTCTAAGAATAAAAGGAGATGGTCCATAAAATTGTTATTTTTTTTACTATCTACTGAAATCAGAAATTTCAAAATTCTCTCACAGAGATATTTTAGAGAAATAATGTTACAGCCTACATTAGTTAGATAATAACCTCATTTCTGAATTTCACTTTGAATGTGTAGACGAGGCACAAGTCAACCAGAGGTTATGCAATTAGCTTGGAGTCAAAGAGAAAGCAAGGAGTAGAGCTGAGAAGGAAACCCCAGTGTGAACTTGATTTTTATTCAATCAAACTGTTAAGGTACCAACCACGCACTTTCATCTATAATCACAATGAACCTTTTAATAAACATGTTTCTATCCTCTTAGCTTAAAAAATATAACAGTAGCTTTTTGGATTTTAAAACAGATTGACTTCTATACTTCTGGGCTAAAGGCAGCTCAAGAGTCAATAAGAATCACAAGCTTTCCACAGTGAGAAGAAAGTGCAATTGCCCAGTCCTCTCTATCTATGAAGTGCAGACAGTATTCCTCTTCCTCACCTCACACTTTCGATTATTGCAATGGTGGAAACCATGATAAATAAAAGCGCTTATCTAGTGGTTTGGTTTTCACTAAAATTACAGACTTCTGTAACATTATTTGGATACCATAAAACACAAACCAAATTTTAGGAGATGCTTTAGGGTGTTTTTTCCCCTGCCCTCCTGTCGGAAGCCCTCTATCTTTTTACTGTAATTTATCTGATATAGCTACCAAGATGCTTGATACTTTTACATGCAAGGGTGCTGAAAAACAAAGAGCGAGGGAATGGGTTGTTAATGAAATTCTCTGATTGTAAAAAGCACTCTGGAATGATCAGGTGGTAAATAATAATAAGAGGAAATAACATAAAGTGCTTAGGTGCTACAGCGATAGTCACCATATAAATGCAGAAGAGATCAGACATGAATAGAATTTGCATTTTATGCAGCTGCTGTGTGTGTATATAGAATATACAGTAGCTAATTTTTCAATAATGCTGGTAAAATATTGTTCAAAATCTATTCTTGCTGTCTTCTCACTTTAAAAGGCATTATATAGAAAAACACCCATCTGTCCTAGTGCAATGGTGAATGTGTGCAAAGAGCCTAGAAAAAGAGCCTCTTTGCATACGTGAAAAAAAAGAACTCAAATAAAAGGAGATAATGAAGAAGAGACAATAGTAACACTATTAGAACAGCTATGCAGACAAGCACAAAGGTGATCTTTGAAAAACATCAGGGATAAATAACTCTGTTAATGTGTGGCAGAGAAACTACAGTTAAGACATACAGTAATATACCAAAAATATAGACATGCTTTTATTTTGTCTACTGGGCTATTGTGATAGTGATGGTTGTTTTTGAATAGAAAGGAAGAAGAGAGTGGGAAGTAGGATTTCGTTGTTTGTTGTTACTGTTGCTGCTCAGTTTAGAACAACAACATCAACTACACACCAGACCCGTCCAACAGTTCCACAAACAATGCTTACCATGAATCTGCCCTCAATTTTCTTGTTGTTATTTTCCCTTAATACTTATTGATAACCCAATGCCCATTCATTAGATATGCTAAATCCTCGTCCATGGTTACTCTCCTTTGGAAGAGACTGAGAAGATGCTAAGAGGGAGTTCCTCTTACACATAAGGGAAGAGTCTGTTTAGGAATCTGAGAAAGCAGAGGCCAGGATAAAGAGACCACTAGTCAATCAATACTAAGCACCGAAGACTGAATCACCCAAAGATACAATTATCTCCCTTCCTTTGTTCTGTCTCTTAGTCAAATAAAGGATTGTTTGTAGAACCTTTTCTGTTCCTGATCTCTAAAAAGCAGGACTGGACTTGCACATCCAACTATAATTCAAAATATCTCACACTTCCAACTTGAAAGAAGACATAAACTGTTTCAAAGAAACTCAGAGAGAGCAAATGCATATTCACAAAACTTACACTTATTCCTAGAATAGGAAAATGGAGAGAGAACTAACCACATAAGAAAGGGCTAATCATAATAATAATAGTAATAATGATGATATCAATCAATACTTTGGATTCTAGAGAATGATTTATCACAAAAATTCACCTGTATTAAGGGAGACTCCAGGACAAGGAGGTCATTAAGCTACATTTCCATCTTCAGGATTCAGCCAAACTCAGACTCTCCGGAAAGCTGTAAATGCTCTCAGAACAGACTTTAGTAATGAGATTGGAATGAACACTGGGCCTATGGCGTAAAAGCATCTCCCTGCCCCTTGTTCTAAAAGTTAACTATTAAACCATGTGCGGTTCATCCTGATTTGGTTTACTCAATTCTAGAAACAAGGACATGCTGATCAGATTGCCCTGGGCAATTGAATACCTACTGAAGCCTTTGGGAAGACAGTGTTCTTCCCACCACCCCTACTTAAAAGGCTTCTGTTACCAGACTATCAATTCTGTGTTACTGGTGAAGGATAGAAAGTATCTTCTTTTGAAGGACAAGTTTTTCACTCACTGAGTTTTCTGCTTTGGGTATATACTCAACATGTTAAGTGCTTAATCTTTTTTCCCCCATTCCCCTTTTTCTACTGTAGTGTGTTTTGTTTGTTTGTTTTTTGTTTTTGTTTTTTTTTAATTATTTGAAGAGTCACTTGTCTGGATGCTTCGTTCTAGTAGAATTTGGCTGATTTTTTTCCCAACACCTTTTAGTGGAATGCAGTAACAGATGCATGGAGGGAGAATTGGTCTTAACAGTATTTTTAGGTTTCATCTGTGTCAGAGAGAGATCTCTTCCCTTTATTGATTTCTTGCATACACTATCCACACTACAGCTTGAAACAGCTACAACAGTGTTTGAAAAATTGGTTGTTCCTCACTGTTCAAACCATTTTTCAAAACAGTCGTTACAAGCTTCATTTTACTTTCTGTTATAAGGAGGGTTTTGTTTGGGTTGGTTTCATTTTCCTTGTGGCGTCATGCTAGCAGAGAAACACAGTCAGGAATATAGCTTTTAAATGTGGTATGATTGGGATTATAACCATATCAGAATCTATATTGAAAATTTATTAGATTGAGCCATGTGCAGTTAAAAAGAAAGAAGTCAGAAGTCTTCGATATTTTTCACAAACATGAACACCATCTCATGCAAACGTTAAAATTCACCAAACAAATGATACCCCACTGTTGGAAAGATATTTTCTCATGTCAACAACTCAGGAAGGAGTGGGGAGGGAATGGGACATATACATGTAAAATTTTTCTCTATATTTTTGATAATAACTCTCTGTGAATATGTTTTACTACCTAGGTAATGCTTATATTTGTAAAAACATATAGTTATATCAGAAAGTCAATTTTGAATAAACCTGAGAATGGCAAACTATAATTTTTAAAATACTAACCTTTTAGAACTGTTCATTTTCACTTTTATTTCCAGGACTCACTATCTTAAAGAGAAGAATAAAAGTTGAAGATCCTTGGGATTAACAGAAAGGGTGGAAATAGCCAAATGTATTCATATTTTTGGCCAGGCGCAGTGGCTTATGCCTGTAGTCCCAGCACTTTGAGAGGCTGAGGCAGGCAGATCACCTAAGGTCAGGAGCTCGAGACCAGCCTGGCCAACATGGTGAAACCCTCTCTCTACTAAAAATATAAAAAATTAGCCAGGCATGGTGGTACACACCTGTAATCCCAGTTCGGGAGGCTGAGGCAGGAGAATTGCTTGAACCCAGGAGATGGAGGTTGCAGTGAGCAAAGACTGAGCCACTACACTCCAGCCTGGGTGACAGAGCAAGATTCTGTCTCAATAAAATAAAATAAAATGACGTTCATATTTTTAAAATACAGCAATATTCATTTGTTTAAAAAACAAGATTGAGGCCGGGCGCGGTGGCTCACGCCTGTAATCCCAGCACTTTGGGAGGCCGAGGCGGGCGGATCACGAGGTCAGGAGATCGAGACCATCCTGGCTAACACGGTGAAACCCCGTCTCTACTAAAAATACAAAAAATTAGCCGGGCGAGGTGGCGGGCGCCTGTAGTCCCAGCTACTCGGGAGGCTGAGGCAGGAGAATGGCGTGAACCCCAGGGGGCGGAGCCTGCAGTGAGCCGAGATTGCGCCACTGCACTCCAGCCTGGGCGACAGCGAGACTCCGTCTCAAAAAAAAAAAAAAAAAAAAAAAAAAAAAAAAAACCAAGATTGAGAGCACAGTTATATAGTGACTTTTGATACATACACAATAAAACTTATTGAATTTTCAAAAAGTGAGAAAAAAACTACTCTGCTTTAAATTTAAAGTAATAAATAATAATGAAGACATATCAACATTGGTAACTGTCAGAGTGAGAAAAGGAAATTGAACATTCAATGTGACCAGAGGAAGGGTGAACATGGGAGATACTGCCCAGGAAAAGTGCTCATGATGAGTAATTCAAAGACCCAGAATCTTAACATAAATTTTTTATAGTTTTCTTTTCAAGGGACTATTTGAAAAAAGATGGTTCTGGGGTTTTTGTTGTAGCTTCTTTCTTTCTTTCTTTCTTTCTTTCTTTCTTTCTTTCTTTCTTTCTTTCTTTCTTCTTTCTTTCTTTCTTTTCTCTCTCTCTCTCTCTCTCTCTCTCTTTCTTTCTTTTGGCTTTGTTGTAGCTTCCTCTTTCTCTCTCTCTCTTTCTCTTTCTTTCTAGCTAAAATTTCACTCTAAATTCCAGGAAATTTTCACGAGATCCTTTTAGAGGTTCTGACACAAATAAAGTAAAAGTAAACCTGTTGTGGCAAAGTTACTAACTAGTCTACACTAACTCTCAGTCCTTGCTCAAAGCAAAATAATGGAGTTTGGGGTGCAATCTGGTGAACTCAATGGTCCAACTGCATAAAGGCAAAGAGGAAAGCCAGGCTTGGGCACTTCTGTAGAAAATGAAGATTACTGGTTTGAAGGCCAGTCTTCTCACTGCTTCACTGTATGTGGTGACTATTGTTAAATTAGATATCCCTATTCTGATGAAAAGGCAATGTGCTATTTTTGGGGTATACATGTTTCAAGCTGTAAACTGCAAAGTGCTGTATAAAAGTAAAGTGGTGTTAATGCCTCATAAGATAAACATATAGATTGATGATGGAGGCATTTAAAATGCTTTAATTGCCCACTTTAATAAAGCACTAAATAATTATAATAAAAACAATTCTTCAGAAAACTTGGTGGGAAAAAGGCCTACAGGATATGTTTGTTAAGAATAATTAGATTTTAGTTTTGGAGGAAAAGGTAGGACAAGTCACAGGAGGCACTCGATGAGAAGTCAGGAATGCCTAGTACATAAGCCACACATATTAAGTTGTAGTTTCTTCAAAACTGACAATAACATGTCCTCCAAAACCAAAGGGAAAATCAAAGGATGTTGCCTATACTTATGTACCTTTTGCTACTGGAGATCTAGTCAATCTATAGCCTTGGATTCATAGTTCTATAACATGACAACATAGCAAAATCTCACCAACACTTTGTTTTAAAGAAATTGGCAGCTGGGTGCGGTGGCTCAAGCCTGTAATCCATGAACTTTGGGAGGCCAAGGTGGGCGGATCACAAGGTCAGGAATTTGAGACCAGCCTGGCCAACATAGTGAAACCCCGTCGCTACTAAAAATACAAAAAAGTAGCTGGGTGTGGCGGTGGATACCTGTAATCCTGGCTACTTGGGAGGCAGAGGCAAGAGAATCACTTGAACCCAGGAGGCGGAGCTTGCAGTGAGCCGAGATCGCACCATTGCACTCCAACCCAGGCAACAGTCCGTGACTCCATCAAAGAAAGAAAGAAAGAAAAGGAAGGAAGGAAGGAAGGAAGGAAGGAAGGAAGGAAGGAAGGAAGGAAGGAATAAATTGGCTATGCCTCCAAGTGAATTATACTATAAACTTCTTTCCCATTACCAATAATGTAAATATATAACCAGGCACAAGCATGTGGAAATGGAGAAAGGATGAACGTTAGTCTTAGAAACTTTGGTTTGTATCCCATTTCCACCTTTTAACAAGTCATTTAGCCTCTCTAGGTCAAGATTTTCTTACCTATTAAATGAAGATAATGGTACCCATCTCACAAAATTGTTTTAAGAATTAAATGTAAAATGCTTGGCACAGAGAGGTCACTCAATACATGGCAGCCAAATCACCACATGCAGTAAAACCCAGATAAAATATATTCAGCCAGGACTGTTGCTCTGTGAGTAGGTCTGGTATCCATGCTACAAAATCTATTAAGCCTAAATAATTTGGTCATTTTAGCAATACTCTTTAGAGATTTTTTAATGACATTTCCCAAAGGTCAAGCTAGCTTATGGTTATGTGGAACTGCTGCATTTATAAGAGAGTTTAGTGGGTTCATAAAATAAGTCTTGCTCCCCAAATCCGGATCATAAAGACCTTCTATCATAAAGGATAAGAGTGACATTTAAAAAACCAGTTTTTAAAAAATGATGGTAGCAAATAAATGCAGATGATCAGGATGACAGCAAGTACCAAGTCAAAGCAACACGGAGAAGAAATAGGCCCTAGCCTGCAGGTTACACTTTAAACACTGAGGAGAAATGGGAGAGTAAAGAGCAACACTGAGCCTCATCGGACTGTAGGTGAAAAAAGATTCAAAATCTGACTCTAAAGCAATAGGTAAAGAAATATTTTAAAATGCTTATCTGTAGGAAGAAAAGCAGTAAAGCAGAATTCCTAGGAATTGAGAAACACTTAGGAAGAAAATGCTTAAGTAGTACGATCCAAGGTGAGGCTAGCTGCAGAAAATACAAATATTTATGGGTTAAATCAGGACTGAGGAAAATATAAAGCCAAATATGGGCAGCTCTGAGGGGGAAAAAATAGGCAGCTTGGTACTCAACTGTCATCACAATTCATTTGTGTTTCACGTCCCACTGTTTGTGACATTAACAGAATTTTGAATTTAGCAATGGACTATTTTTGTATTGTGAATCTCTGCAGCCATTTTCCATATGTAGCTACCACTGTAACTAGCAATAACAGCCTTTTGAGCTTTAAAATGCTTCCAATTAATAAGATTCAAAATAGGGGTCACCTAAGAGTTTTCCAAGTTAATTCCCTTTGTCTACTCTTTGAAGCAGAGTGGTATTCCTGCTATTCATTTGCATTGAGGCCAAATTATTTGACCATTTCAGTAAGATATCCTTAGGTAGCTTTTGCTTTTATTGTCATTTTCCAAAGGATTAAGTTAGTTTTAGATTTTTGAACTGCATTTTCATTTAACTAAAATAACTAAAGCAATCTTTTTATGAGGGTATTTAAATAGATCAAATTTATACCAAGTTCCTACTGTGTGTCAAACATTAGCAAAGCAATTTAAAATGTTATTATTTATATATCAATACATACAAATCATATGTGTTATATATTAATGAGCTTATAGCCATTATACACAGGACTTTTATGTGTTATTATTGTTGTGGTTATTTCTGTTGTTCGCAGGTATCAGTTATCAAGTACCTATTATGTTCCAAGAACTCTACCAAGGACTATACACACTCACCATGTAATGAAGATATTATTGGTTTATTTTCCATTTGAAGATTTAGTCACAAAAAGTAACTTGTCCATGAGCATATAATTTGTGCATTCTCTTAAAATCACTTAAACTTCCACGTAACACCTGGATTGACGTATGCTTTTTCTTACAAAATATACTTCAATTCAATAAAGATTCTTTAGTCACCTACTATGTGGCACCTGCTAGGATAGTTATCTTTGTTTGCTATTATGCTAAATCACAGATCTGACCATTAGAATCTCTTCCTTCCTGAAAATACCCTCTTTAGGTAAAACTGTATTTCTTATCATTTTCCATCACTGATTGAATAAAGAAAGGTGGCACTATCTGGAAAACATAAGAGCGTTGGATTTACAAGTTTCTTTTAATAAAACAAACCAAGTTAATCACAAATTGTTGCAACAAAATATGTGACATGAAGGGCATTTAAGGCACATTTAGACATTATTTCTATCTAGAAACAGAAATTTAGTCCACATAATGTCATTTATCTACTGAGCTAAATCGTATTACAATTTTCATCTATAAAATCCAGATTCTTAATGTGTGTTGGAAAGATAATATCTCTGACCCGCTCTCAGTAAGAAATGTGTTTTGAATTGTTTTGTTAGTAATAATAATGGAGTTGTACTGGACAAAATATATTTTCAGCAAGTTTCTCTGGTAATAAAAATAACTATAATAGTAGTAATAATACTAGTAATCACCAATAAATAATAGATAGCATTTATTGAACTCTACTATGTGCCAGGTACTGTGATTAGCACTTTACATGTATTATCTTATTAATTTCTCAAAATATTACATGAGGTAAGTACCGTAAATCCAATTTAACAGAAAAGCACATTGAGATATAGAAATCCAATAATTTGGTAAAGATCACACAGATAGAAAAGAGGTACAAGTCAGGATTGGAACCCAAGGAATCTGACTCTCGTATCTATCTACTCTAGGTGGGGGATATAGCAGGTGCTATGGTGTTTGTTCAAGAGAATACTCCATTTGTGTTGTTTTATCTACCTTATTAGGGTTGGGGCCCATTTGGTCTGTAAGCCAAATCTGAAGACAGCTGAAATGAGTTAAGGTTTGAATTAGTGCTATTCACACTATCTGCCAATTAAAATGCTCCCTTCTGAGAAGCTGTAGCCAGTTGGCATAACCTTAGGACATAATACATGCTCAAAAAAGTATCTGATGAATGTTAACAATGGTTTCTCTAAGTGGTGATTTTACTTTCTTTAAAAAATACTTTTTCCTATTGTCTGAAATATTTTCAACATGGGCACATTACTTAGGTGATCAAGGGGAAATTCAGGACTTTACTTAAAAAATGTTTTTGTTTTGTTTTACAATTAGGTTGTTAGTCTCAGTTAAAACATAACTCCTGCTGGGAAGCCTTTCCTGTTGCTGTACTCTCTGACCTTTTGAAGGACAGTACTCCTTACTCTGTCTGCCTCAGAACCTTATGAAGGCCACATACTATTGTTAATTATCAGTCTTCTCTGCTTTATGTGAAGTCCCTTGAAGATTGACCCCATTACTTATCTACCTCTTAGAGCTCTAAGCATCTTGAGTGCCTACCACTCAGTTCAATGAAAAAACCCAGAACACACATACACCAGAACAAGCACAAAAGATGAAAAAGAATTATTTTAGGGTTGACAATGCACACTCTTGGTATTTGCAGATGACTTGTTTCTCCCCTTACATTATGTGCAGGTCCCCATGGAAAGAAGTTTCCCACAAGAAGTGTCTTGAATTTACTGGTCTCTTCTCTGGAGGATTTTACAAATGCATCAAGGAATACACACACACACACATACATACACATTATGAAATAATATGAGGATAATTAGAAGTAATGGGGAACACAGGAGGCAATTTCTAAAAAATGAAGCATATTTTTTATATATATAATGTATATATGTATACCTGTATATAATGTATATATGTATACCTGTATATATAATGTATATATGTATACCTGTATATATAATGTATATATGTATACCTGTATATATAATGTATATATGTATACATTATATATAATGTATATATAATGTATATACACATACATGTATGTATATATATACACACACGTATATATATATATATATATACACACACACTTTTTTTTTTGAGACAGAGTTTCGCTTTGTTCCCCAGGCTGGAGTGCAATGGAGCGATCTCAGCTCACTGCAACCTCCGCCTCCCGAGTTCAAGCGATTCTCCTGCTTCAGCCACCCAAGTAGCTTTGATTACAGGCATGTGCTACCACGCCCAGCTAATTTTGCATTTTTAATAGAGACGGGGTTTTGCCATGATGGCCAGGCTGGTCTCAAACTCCTGACCTCAGGTGATCTGCCCGCCTTGGCCTTCCAAAGTGCTGAGATTACAGGCGTGAGCTACCACACCCAGCCACATTTATATTTTATATTAAGTAATTTTGTTCCTTTCCTACCCCATTATAATATAAACTTCATGAAAGTAGAAACTTTATTTTATTCACTACAGTATCCCTAGTCCATAAAAGAAGGCATGGCATTACATCCTCAATAAATATATGTCGAAAAGAAGGAAAAAGGTATAGATGTTTCCACTGTATTTCTTATATTTTTCTGGAAACAAAGGGGAAAGGTGTTCCCAAAAGGTTTCCAGGAAAACTTCAATCACCAATGAAACTGCAAGCTCTTGTCATGTTCCTCAGACCACTACCTAATTAATTCCTTTATGTGCAATACATCCTTTCTAGCCTGTTGATACTCAATTTCTGGCGCTGCTGTAACTTGTGGAGCAAAGAGTGCCACGTGAGAGGTGCTTGGGCCCCTTCATACTGTGCCTCACCTGCGAACTGGGGAGGCCACTGCCATTTAGGCTCCAGCATCTTTTACAGGCCAGCTGAGCCACCAGAAGGGAAGGGGAGAAAGAGACATGCAAGTTCTCAGAATGTCTGGTATATTCACTCACACACATTTCTCTTCTCTTCTCAAAAAGGATCCTGGCAACAAATCACTGATTAATGATGAGAGAAATGGAATCAGGAGGACCCCATGATACCCTCTCATCCTAGTTTTGGGAGATAAAATCTCCCACTGTGGGGAGGAGGAAGACCCTACAGGGTTTTCTTATGTTTTGCAGCTTCCAAATTGTAGTAGGGTCCTATTCTATAAAATTGCTACCAACAACTGTATACTTAGTGATATAATACCATATGGAACCTTGAGTTTTACTTAAAGAGTAGATTATGTGGCAATTCATAGTTATCCTAGTATGGATAAGAAAATATCCTAGTAATAACATAATTATTCTAGTTATGAGTTTTTTTCAGACAAGAAACTCTTTTATTCATCTTTTTATCTCTAGTGCCCAGACTCAACATATGACTTTGTATATAGTAGTTCTTAATAAATGATAGCTTAAAAATTAAATAATATTTTTAAAATGGTGAGATATGGCTTAAAGGGGTTCAAACAAATTCAGAGTTTTGTCTAATCTAGGTGTTTCTAGATTTATGAGCAGGCAATCACATATTATTGAGTATGTATTAGTGTTTTAGTTAGTGTTAATACAGTATAATAAACCCTCATTGATTGTTGTAGAGAAATCCTACTATTTTACACTCATATACTAGAAATGTTTAAAGTCACAATTTTAAAATAGTGGACTTCAAACTTTATTATGCACAACTAACCTGGGCAGTTTCCTAAACTGCAGATCCAGGCTACATTCTCAGAGCTTCTGATTTAGAAATTCTGGAATGGGGTTCAGGAATCTCCATTTTAACAGGTGCTCTAGATAATCCTGATATAGGTAATCCCTAGGTAATCCTGATACAGTTGGTCCTTGGACTACTTACCATGGACTAGGCTACAAGGTAATATAATAATAAATCTATACAGTTCACCTTTTCAATACGAAGAGAAGAGACTAGCCTATTAAATGTGACTTAACTATCAAAATTACCCGTGAAAAGAATAGGCAATTTGCTAAGACTTCTCAAAATGAACCAAGGGAGGACATAAGGGCGAGAAATATTAAATTTCAAGCCAGAAATGACTCTTTTTAAAACTTCAAAGAGACTGACAATCTGCTTAAAGTAAAAGTGGAAGAAGAATGGCAGCAGTACAGAAGTGTTTTATGAACAATTTAGGAAAGCAACATTGATTCAAGAGGTTTATTTGATAACATGTTTTAATGGTTATTATAAAAGTGAATGCCTTCTAATCTTTGATTTGCTGCTAAAATATATATGTATTTATTTACATGAAATTTTTTTTTTAAATTCCCCCCTTAACTCCCTACTTTCCACACATTTTTAGCTTGCCAACATTACTGCGTTAATGGTGTCCTTTTTTTCTCTCTCTAGAAACACATGCCCTGGGATTAAAAGGGGATTACTTTGGTCTACTTCCACATCCATGTCCCAGGGAAGGTACTGCTTCTGCTTCCGACCTGACCTTTAGGTATCTGCAGCCTTCAATTCTTTACAGTGGGAGTTGCTTTAGCATTGATTTCTTGGAAAACTAAGAGCTGTTTTCAAAAGCCATTTTCAAGACAAATAATGAAAATTATTTTCTTATGCTTATGGATGTTACAAACTGTGTAACAAGCTTTTCTCTTTAACTTTGCTGCAAGAAAGTTTAAAGGCAACTGTATAGCACTTCACTGAATATAGTTTTATGCTGACCTCACTTCTAACTCCATTTTTATATCCTTTCCTTTATTGTTTTATTTTTCTTACCTATTTCTAATTCATGTATTTTGCTGCAATCATGTATTTATGTTTATTTTTTCATTGTCAGCCATTTTAATTCCCTTATTGGTGCAATAAATAGTAAATAAGACAAATAAACAAAACAAAAACATATGTATGTATGTGTATTTGGTATTTACATCGCATGTACTCAAAATAAAAAATAAAAACTAACCACCTAAAATAATTGACATATTTCATTATTCTTTGGGCTATAGATTCACTTGACTGCAGCACTTCCATTTAGGGAGATATAAAATTAAAATACCACCATGAAAAAATCCATATGAAATTTGACATAGGTATTTTCAGCCCCAGGTCATTAATTCAGTTCTGACTGACATCTTTCAGTTCTGTTTTAAAATTTTTGTGTTCAGTCTTTCGATTACACACACAAAAAAGTTTTGGCTTAATCAGCCTAATAAAGTGTATATTTCTGAAAACATTTTTATGTAAACAAATATAGAAGTATACATGATACATACACATACATTTTTTACTTAGAGTCTTCAAACCAAATATTTCAGTCCTTTGCTTCCAGTATTATTTTCTTTTAAGTAAATACTTTTCATTAAGCAACAAAGAGTGATAGTCATCTCAACACCAAAAACTTGTATTCAGGCTAAGTTTAGTCTACTTTGCATATTTTCCTCTGAGAATGATCCAGCCAGTCTCAGTCTGATTCTAGTAAAACTCAGGTAATGTGGAAGAACTCTAATTGAGTATTAGACATTTTAACAATTATATTCATATTGATATGTCCTTATACGACCACTCTAGGTGAAATATTACTATGCTTGGGACTTAAATATGATTTTTGTTCTTTTATTAATTTCTGAATCTCATATCCTTCCAGATACCAAAGGAATACAGTACCACCTGGGAATAATGTCAATTTTCACTTTAAAAAAATATTTTGTTGCTTTTCCCCTCAGCATGGGCAACCAATAGCTGATTCATACTTTCATTACATCACAGTTGGATTACAGAAGGGCTCTTTAGTCTGGCCTCCGCATGTCTCTTGCAACTCATTTGTAGACAGCCCAGAAACTAGCAGCTGGACTTCATTTTTGTTCCAGCAGTCACCATTTTATAGTGTTTCTCTAAGTCACTGTGAGTTTCACTGATGACAAGTCTAAAACTCCACAGGTATTCATATTTAGTGGGTTAAATCAGAGAGAAAGGATTATGCTTAACTTTCTATAGGTTCATGTCACTCAACTATACTTTGCCATTCACTTACCATACGTCAAAAAGGTGGAATAATACTATTCTTACATAGAGGACTAATAAGATATACTTAGCAAAAGTAGGTGGTTGCAAAACATTTTTTTAAAAATCAGAGTGCTGTATTTTTAAAATCTTGCATAGAACTCTGGTTCAATTTTTGAGTCCTTCCAATTTCTCATAACTCTGTGGTATTCATAATAAAGCAGGCAGATGGTTAAGTCTCTGAACATATGCTTTAAATGCCCCCTTTGCTATTTCTAAATAATGGACCAAATTTTGCCCTCAAATAGTCACAGGAAACTTTAAGGAGGCTGCCTCTTGAAATCTGAGGACAGAATGTGATCCAGTGGGAATTAAACCTTTAAAAAATATATTTTCTAAACTTTCTTATGAGCTCTATTCCCTATACCAAGACAAATTACATTTTTTAATAAAATAGGATATAGTAAGAGAAAAATCCTAACCAATACAATATTACTTGGCTCAAGGAATAGATTAGAAGGCAACATATGTTTTATTTATTTATATTTTAAAATTCTGATTTTCTAAAACATGAGAGTCATCTGATTAATTTCTGTGTGATTACCAGATTTTCCATTTTTATTATTATTCCTATTACTAGTATCATGTAGATGTTATATTGTTAAAACATCTTGCAATTATTAATTAGTTAATTTAGTTTAAATTATGATTATGCCTTTGTTTTAAATCAATGTTTTTCATAGTTATTAAAAGCCAAAAGCACTATTTTTCCAGTCACTTACTTTCATTTCAAAAACAGTTTGTTGTCGATGAAAGCGCATTTTCCAGGTTATCACAGAATATGCAATTCATCTGCAATGGATATATATATTCTGGTAATGTTGCTCACATAACCTAGCTGTACTTGTAAGAGTATCTCTGTTTCTTAATGTCTATATTTTATACATGGAATTAACCTTCATTTGCACACTCATATTTCTATGTATTTAAATTTATTCCTGAAAGACCTCTGAACTAGTCTCTCCTGTCTTACGATGTCCACAAAACTTAGCAGTCTGATTAACATTACAGATAAAAAGACCACACAATTGACAATAAGGACACTTTAGTTATTATAGACGTCTGAAGTTTAAGTATTCCAAAACTATAATGTCCCTTTAGAAATTCTCAATAAGGATTAGCTTGGTCCTAATGAAAACAGTGTTTACTTTTAAAAATAAATGCAATAGTTGTACCCAAATATGTTCGAAACACTGTATGACGTGTCATAATCAACAATGTTGAAAATAACTAAAGATCTTTAAATCAAGTGATAATTTTACACATATATCCACAAATATCTGAACAAAATTTATAATTACTATTGGGACAAAACATTAACATATTCTTCTGCTAATAAAGACAAACAACTTTGAGAAAATCCTCTCTCATTCTCACGTCTCTAACTTTCACAATAAATGCAGCACTGAAACTAAATTTCCAACTCAGAAATACGCTGAGCTCCAATAAACAAGTTGATTTTAAAAACTCACCAGACTAACAGTTATGCTTTTTCCCTTATCTTTCCTTTGCTTTCCCTTGTTCTTTCACTTTCCATGCACACACAATCACACTTACCTGCACAAGTCTGAAACATCAGTCTATGTATTTTTTTTGAAATGTACTCTGTACCGATGCATTTTTCTGTGTTTCTTTCTAACCCTCGAGAATGTTAAGAATTTAGGAAGAGAGCCACAGCTTAAGAGTGCAATTATTTGCCAGTAAATACTCAATTTGCTTGTCCTGTGATTTTTCTTCTAACTTGCATATTCAATAATCCGTCCCTGACTGCGTCACGAGCACAAAAAGTCTTTTCTCCAAAGGAGAAGACTTTCGCCAATCAACCTTCAGCCATGCCAGGGCACAGCTTGTCAGGGTGATTTGTTAGCTTTAATTAATAATTCCTCACACTGGCCATTTTCACAAATAATGCAGTGAGGCTGGGAGGCTAGATTGCTATGATTCAGACAGATAAAACTACAGTGGAAAGGGGATGGGGAGGGGTGTGGGGGAATTCAGATGCCGTTTATAAACACCTCTAATCATACTCTTTCAGTTTACAATATAGAGGACATCTCAGTTGAATTACCACGTTATGTCCACCAATTTGTATTCAGATGGAAACCATATGTTCCTCCACTTTATCTGCTAGGGACTCCCTGGTGCCAACACAGTCATTGGGCAGACAACATTCACAAAAGAGGTCTCTAGCCTCTGGATTGCAAAAGTTTACTGCAGGGTGAAGTTGAGAAATCAGACATATACTGCACTTCTCAGTGAGCTTGGGTAACAGTCTGGAAACACAGAAGTATGAGTTATGAGTGTCAGATTTTCTCTTATCCTGCTATGTGATACTGGGCATTTCATTTAGCCTTAAAAAAAAAATCTCATACCTCATCCTCAAATCAGTTTGCAACAATGACTGATTTGTTCATGCATTCTATGAACATTTATTGACTCCCAAATATATGCTACACACTGTATTAAATGCTGAGAATTTTGCTTGAAAGTAAGACTTTTCCATTTAACTGACAATCCATGGGCTTGAACAAAGCCACCAAACAGATAGTGTGCAAATAAAAATAAGGATTTCTAACAGTTTCTGTGTGGCTCAACCAAATAATCAGTAATTGACAACACACTTGAGTCCATTATGCAAAAGTAATGCTCGGGGTAAAAAAGAATATACAGAGATTAAAAAATATGTTTTTCAAAGATTAAAAAATTTCCCTCAAAGTGACTAGAGCACTAAGAAACATATTAATATGTTCATAAACAATTTCCAAAGATTCACAATCACTTTAGGAACATACAAATAAAAAAATTTTATTAATGTCCTTAATCTTATATAAGAATATATGCCTGTGTTTGAGACTGCAAATTTATTAATTTATTGGATACATATTTATTGAGCATCTACTCTATTTCAGGAACTGAATAATATTGGAGATAAGTAAAGCACAGCCTCGTTATTCAAGAAGCTCACAATTTAGTCACCAGACTCTAAAAGAGAAAACACACATCTCAACTGAAAACTGTAATACAATATAGCCAGAGCAATGACACAAATATACATAAACATGTAGGATGGGCCTCCTAGAAGTGATGCATCAACTATTTGTAAAGGTTGGGTAGAAGTACCAGTGGTGAGAAGAACATTCTAGGGAGAGGCAAACCTTTGAACCCTTTCTCAAACTGTTACTAGAAGCAGAGCACCAGTTCTAGAAAAGATGGGATTTAATACATGACAATTTCAGATAAATGTTTCAGATGGTAAATATTGCAGGATTTAAAAATAAACTTATTAAGAAACAAATGTTCCCCAAAACTATAATGTCTTGATATCATCAAAAAAGCATGCAGCATCTCTAGCACTGGCACATAGTAACATACATGTCTTTCTCACTTTGTGTGTTTCAGTTCTCTGAGGCAAACATGAAACATGCTTGACACACACTGCCTTTCTGTGTTTTCTTGCCTATTTATCTTCTTTTACTATGGGCAGGCTTCTACTGCTTCTGTTTTCACTGTACCATAAGATAAATCATATTTGCATGACTGTTAAAGGAAGGGGAAAAATCTGTGTCCATTTTGTGGTCACACATCTACTTCTAGTCAGATAGCACATGCTATATGGGACTAAGAGTGCAAATGTTAAATGAGAAAGGAAATAATACTCCTAAACCCCCAAAAAGCTCTTTCATAGATAGTAAATACTCCTAGAAACTATACAGAATTCTTGGTGTTATTTAACATTTTGCTTTATATTATATTTAACAGTGTAAGGCAACAGCCAGAATACTATTTACCATAGTTCAGTAACATCTAGCCATTTAAAGAATTTACAAAGTTTATTAATTCATTAAATATGTATGTATTGAGCTCCTACTATATACTGAGCACTTATCAGTAAATGTTTGATTTTTATTCCCACAATGCTTACACATAATAATAGTTAACATTCATTGAGTGCTGACTATATGCTAGGGACTAATCTAAGGACTTTACATATAGTATCTCATTTAATTCCCACAGTAACATTATATGTTAGGTACTATTACCACCTCCATTTAGTATATTATGAAACTCACAAGTAGAGAAGCTAGATATACACTATGTGAATTCATTCTACACAATGAGACCAGGGCAACTAATGTCCACCAAAAATCAGATTTATTACTTTATAGTTACACAGTCACAAGTAATGTTTATGTTGTGAAAATTAAAGAAAATAAGTCCGGGCACGGTGGCTCAAGACTGTATTCCCAGCACTTTGGGAGGCTGAGCTGGGTGGATCACCTGAAGTCAGGAGTTCGAGACCAGCCTGGCCAACATGGTGAAATCCTGTCTCTAATAAAAATACAAAAACTAGATGGGGTGGTGGCAGAAAGCTGTAATCCCATCTACTTGGGGGGCTGAGGTAGGAGAATCGCCTGAACCTGGGAGATGGAGGTTCCAGTGAGCCGAGATCATGCCACTGCACTCTGGCCTGGGTGACAGAGCCAGACTCCATCTCAAAAAAAAAGAAAAAAAAAAAAGAAAGAAAATGATATGCTTAATGTGCATAGCACAAAATCTAGCCCAGAATAGGTGTAAAATATATGGCATTTGAAGTATTCAGAGTTAAAGATTACCACATACAACTAAGACTTACTGTTTCTGGACCAAATGACCATATATTATTGAAGCCTATCTTAGACAATAAATGTAAATAAATCTTAGCTAAAGCAAATTAGCCTTGGTAGTCTGGGAGGGTTTTCCTTTGAAGATGTTAATAATATAGTTGAACTGGTTGTGTTTAAGAAAGCAGAGCTGACAGACAAAATAGAGATAGATGACACAGGAACTCACCAGTTAATAATAGAAAAAATTCTTGTTTTTCCAAGTGATTAATACAATATTACATTGTATTTAATGTAGATGAAAAAGCTTATTTGGTACTCACTGGGGAAGCCACCACTCAGTATAATCATATGCTCTTTTCAAATAATCCCATGCTGCTAACTTTACAGCTAACTGCCAGCATTTGCCAACTCCGGGCACTCTGATGCCCTCTCCACATTCTTTCTTCTCTCTTGACATTGACTAAGTCCAGCCACCCATAATTCTTGACCTAAACTATGGCACAAATATCCATGAAACAGAACATTTATTTTTGGTGATAAAGCTGGTTCTAGATGAAATGGTGGTATTTCTTTATGGAGGAGCTGCAAGGAGGCTCTCTTCATTTGCTTGTGTGTGTAAGTAAAGTTTCTGATTTGGGATAAAGGACTGCCTGGACCCTCAATTATTGGTGTTTATTCTATGGATATTGGCTGAGATATTTTGTATGGGAAAACCAGCAGATGAGTTAATGAGCATCCGTCTGAGCCATACTAACCTAGTGGCACCTCCTGGGAAGCCAGGGCGTTCTAGAATCTGTTTATTTCTCAAATGAAAATCCTAATTCATAGAAGTTAAAAGTATAGAAGACAACTTCACGTACTCTTTCTTCATGATACCTGGATTGGTTACAACTTAGTAAAATTTTAGCCTGTTTGGTCCCTCCTTCCTTACTGGCTGTCTGAGTCTCTAGCCTTATATAGGAAAACCTTGTCTTCTAATTGAAAATGATGACAAACAGAAGTTATGACAGACACATTTCAAAGTAGATGCTATTTTTCCCAAATAAATTTCACATACATTCTAATTCCTAAACTTATATATTTTCACATACTTTATATAAATACCTGACACCTTAAAATGTTTTACTTAGTGAGACCTAGATAATGAAGGAATAAAAAGGTGACTTAATCCCAGTTTTTCTAAACAAGAAGTTTAGAACTCACGTATTTTAAACTTGTTAAGTGATGATCAATATAATGGGCTGTATATTTGGTTGAGAGTTAAAAATCTAAAGTTTTCTCAGAGTACTTTAAGGCATTGCTTTCTCAGTGGAAATCTTCGACCTTCACATTCTCAAAAGGAGAAAAATGTTTCTTGTCAGAAAACTAGTCATGGCTAGTCCATAAGAAGAAGTCCAAGATTGTATCAGCTTCCCTGTGACCTTGCTATGAGATTTGCTACAAGTAATTTAATGCTTTTCTATGTCTCAGTTTACTTTTTATCTATGATACCTCAATGATATTATTAAGATAATGTGGATCAAGTGTTTTGATCATTGCATAGAACATATGCATAGAACATAGAATATAGAAATCCCCAAATATAAGAATGAAAACTTAAATTGTTAGAATGACACTAACTCTGCTACAACCTTAAATAGCATATATAGTACCTCAGTGTCTCCATTTTTTTCAGCTATAAAATGAGAATAGTCATCTTTATGTTTTTCATTAAACAGTATATTGGAATAAATAGAGATTATTACAAAATCTGTTGAAAGATTTCAACAAAATGTCATACATGCAAGTGAGGTGATGAATATATTAATTGGCTTGATTAAATATTTCTAAAATGCATACACAGATCAAAATATCACATTGTACCCCATAAAAATACATAATTATTTTTCAATTAAAAATAAATAAATAAAATTAAAATGTAATCAAACCTCTGAAGCTGATTTTCAAATATATTAGAGGAATTGATTTTAAAATATCAAAGCGTAAGAAGTAAATGTTTTCAAGCATATTCAGACACTTATGAAGGAAGACTATTAAAAGACAGGGAGCAGGACTGCCTTTTCTTTGTGTGGCTGGCTGCATTTTATGATGGATTCAAAACCCCAGTAATGAGAAAATATAATCAGAAAAAGTGATTTTTAGCAGGCTGTTGAATGACACATAAAATAAAATGTATTCATTAATGAGTCAGCAAAAATGTTATGCATGAGCTTTCAGAGCCAGAATTTTTAAGCAGCTTTTTCATACTTGGTACAGCCATGTTCCTGAAGTATCCTCTCACAACCCCCTTCTACCTCTCTCTCTCTCTCTTTTTTTTTTTTTTTGTCCTGTACTGCCAGGTTGGAATAATGACCAAAGGGAGGGGCAAAACAAACAGATATGCTCACTGTGGCAGAAGTCACTCCAAAGATCAAAGACTCGATTCAGCCGTGGCTGCCAAAATCAGAACCACAGTGGGTGCTCATCAGCACGGTGCCCTCAGAACCACATGGGCTACCCTTGATAGGTTAGCAGCTTGGGGTGCAGGCCCCGCATCCTGCTTAGAACCACCTGCTGAGAACTGGATGTGCACATTACCTTACCCACTCACAACATTTGATTTCAACTCAATTCTGCTCTAGTATTATGTTTATTGAATGACGGAAGTCTAACAGACACTGTAAAAATCCAATTTCACATCTTATAGTACCCAAAAGGGAACTGTGATTTTCCTATATCAGTGAGCAAAATCTTGAGCAATTAGTAAACAAGATCACCAATTTCTAGTATTTCTATGAGATATATTTCTTTAGTTTTCTGTAAGGAGAAAATAATATATTGGTACCTTAGTATCCAGCAATCTTATATTCATTTATAGGGTTATCTCAAGTTAACATAGTCAAAAACCCAGAAGAGGGAAAATAGAGCCCTTGGGAAATGAAAAGAAATGCCATAAGGTACACGCTGTTGCCCAAATACATCATTACTTACCAAGGAGACTTTAATTTGGAACCAATTTATTCTTCTTTAATACACAGTAACACCAGTAATCTGGACCCTCCATTCATATTACATGGGAAGAAAACACTTTCGGAAGAAAGTACAATGATATCTGTAAGAAATGATGGCTCTATCTCAGAATGAAGAGGAGACAGAGGAGGTGAGGGAGAAATAAAAGTATGCAAAGCTAAGAACTATGTACAGCTTGCAAACATCTCTATTATTGAGTCCTGCAGAAATCATTGTGGTAAAGCTCTGCACAAAAAATAGTGTTCATAATTATTATGGGTTTAATTGTGCCCTCCCAAAATTCATATGTTAAATTTCTAACCCCAAGTATCTCAGAAAATGACCATATTTGGAAATAGGGTCCCTAATTAAGATGCAGTCGTAATGGAGTAAGGTGGTTCTCTACTCAAGTATGACTTATGCCTGTAGAGAAAGGGGAAATTTGGACATGGGCACACATACACTGGGAGAATGCTATATTAAAGATGAAGGCAGAAATCAGGGAGATGCCTTACAGGTCAAGGAATTCCAACGATTGCCATAAACTCCAGAAACTAAGCAAGAGGCATGAAACAGATTCCCTCCCACAACCCTCATAAGGAACCATCCCTTCTAATAGCTTGATCTCAGACTTCTTGCTTCCAGAACTGTGATCCAATAAATCTCTGTTGTTTAAACAACCCAATTTATGATATTCTATTATGGCAGCCCTAGGAAACTAATACAATAATGATTATCAGGAAATCATCATGTAAAGACTAAATCAAGTTCAGAATATATTGTTTAAGAAGGTTGAAAAATATAAGATTCATTGCAGAAAACGAATCAATATGCTTTTGCAGAAATAAAGCATTCAGTGTTTGAGTGGCACAAATATCGAAACAATAAATGATTTCTTTACATGGAACATATGGTTTTCAATTTTTCCTAATCCAATGAGATGTTGCCATCTTTACTAAAAAGACAAACTGAAATATACTCTACAGAACACGTCAAAGAAAGAGTCCCCAACCTCCAAGAAGCATTTTGACTAAGAAGGAAGATAAATATCAACTTATTTTTATTTGTTTGTTTAAAATACACAGCCTAATATGGATGAAACGGTTACAAAGAGAAGTTCTGGGTAAAGAAGAGGTTGTCTACTTAGAAGAAAACTACTAATAAATGGGGTTTGAATCTACATAAAAATTAAAAGGCATTCATCCAGATGAGAAGTTAAAGAGAATTCTAAGTATGAAGAATGGAGAAACATGAGAGGACTGAACAAAGCAAGAGTAAGAGAAGGTAGGGGCAGAAACAACAGCAGAGGGAATATGAGAAGGCTAGCTGGTATTGAGAGTGTTATCAATCTGAAATGGGCACAGAAACGGATAAAAAAGCCTGTAGACAGGTAAGAAAGACAAGAAACAGTAACATTCCCATATTTAAACAAGAAGTTGAAAACATCTAGTGCAAGAATTAAGCTCTAATCTTTAAAACAGGTGCTCTTAAATGCTTTTGCATGAATAAGAGACTGTACCTTGATTTTTCTTCAAAAGGATTCAATAGTGGGATGGAAATGTGTGTGTGTGTGTGTGTGTGTGTGTGTGTGTGTGTGTGTATAAGCTAAGCTGTTACTGCAGGTAGGTCAATGAAGAAATACTTCATGGAACAGGAAGTTATAGCGTTATACAATGTGTTCCCTGGAGAAGTTTAAAAAAACACACACAAAATAGCCCTATGAAGTTTGTTTGCTCTGTTAAATAGCTTTAAAATTCTACCCCTACTAATTGTTCTTAACATTTTATTTCAGCCAATTATCAATTTAATCTGGGAGAAGAAAGATCTACTTGACTTTCTGACAGCCAAGTCAATCCAACTAGAAAATTCAAACCCTACAAGAAAACTGCTTTGCAACATTTTTAACTGACAACAGAAATCCATGATAACATAATCACCTTTTTCTTTCTTTCCCAAACTCATTCTCTCTAAAGAAAATAAACAATGGTACAAAGATACTTGGATGAAATGAAAAAGTGAAGAGAGCTATTCCCTCTTTATGGTAATAGGATGTTCTTGTTCAAGATGGTTAAAAATGTAACCTGAGTTCTTTTTCAATTCTCTATAGAAGTTGGAGATGGTCTTGTCTACATATCTAAAGTAACTGAATTATATCAGCAAATATAAGAATTACAGCTTAATTTCACCCATTTTCTATCTTAAATAATTCATAAATTAATTAGTCTCTTTATTTTATTCATTGGAAAAATGTTGGCTTAGATGATGATATTCAAGTAGGGACCCAAAATGTTAAAAACGAAGATAAGGAATAGGTTTTGCATAGATACTACCTTTTTTCCCACTGATTTCTATGGATTTTCTATTACAGAAATAACTTCTGCAGAGCACTAGTACTTCTGCAGAACAGAGTAGGATATTCTCAAAACTGGGATGGTGATAAAATGAATAAAATCAGCATCAAGTGATGAGAAGCAGATGAGTAAAGGAATATGCCACAGCACTAAAATAAAATGGGCCCTTAATTAAAAGTCCTTGATTAAATTTTACCTTATGAAGAGAAATATTGAAAAGAAAAAGGAAGAAGGAGAGATGAAGGGAGGAAAGATGGAAGGACAGAAGAAAGGAAGTGAGGGAGAAAGGAAGGAAGGGAGGAAGGAAACAGAAAGGGAGGAGGGAGGGAGAAAGGAGAAAAAAGTGAGTTAAAAAGCAAGAAAGAAGGAAAGAAAAAAAAGGTAAAGCCATTATAGAGGTATTTTCTCATCCTTTCCCCACTGGCTGGCCCTCTAATCTTCCTTCTCTGCTTCCCACCCCAATCCAAATGTCTGGGACACAAGTAGGATAGTTGGGAAAAAGGGGAAAAAAGGAAAATTTCTTTCTCCAGCTGATGCTCACTTTGGTACCAATAGCTCTAACTCAACAGTTCCAAGTGTTTTTAATCTCATGTGGTCCTTTGAGAATAAATGAAACTTATCAACCTTCTCTCCAAGGAAGGGGTGGGGAGAAAGAAAAAGCATATTTACAAATACATATAAAGTATACATTTAGATAAAATATAAAGTATATTTGCATACATTTTCAAAGGGCTTATATAAACTCTGAAATTCATCCCTGCACCATCTAATTATCCATTAGCTTAATATGAAAAACCATTGGCTCTAGAATCTGGACCAAGCCATAATAAATGGTTGGGGATAGGGATTTGGAGAAATGGAAATGAGATACAAAACAAACCGAGCAAAAACACACACACATTAAAAATAAAAAGGTGTTCCTTCTCTCCAAGTCAACCCTTAAGGATCTGGCTCTTCATTGTTCCTGGAATTTAGATCAATAAAAAATATGACTTGACCAATAACTATTTAATTAATAAAAATAGATAAAATTATATAGCAATATATATAATATTGTAGCAATTCTTCATGTTTTAATCATTAATTCTACATTACTCCCTGTTAACTGTCTTTGATAGTGCACTAATATATAATACTGCCCTGATTTTGAACATTAGTCTAATACTTACAATAACATTGAAAACCAACACCATTTAATATTGTGATTAGCAACTCATCAGACATATAGGAAATTACAAGGAGACTCTGCAACAGATACAACAAAGCAAATAAACAATAATAAACTAATTTCAATGTTTTAATGGCTATATGTAAGAGGAAACAGACCTTGCCTTAACTGTACTAATGGGAATTGTTTATATTTGTTTAAAACATAATAATGTTTCGCATAGTAATTCATAATCTTCAAATGCCTTAAAGTATATTTAGCTCATCTGATGTGACTATCAACTCTGGAAAGTAAATAGGAGAGATATCATTATCCTTTTTTCATAAGCGAGGGAAGAGAGGCTACAAACGATTAAATGACTTCATTAATATCACAAATCTAACATGTGGTAGAGCAAAGGCTAGAACTCACAGGTTCTGATACCCAGTAATTTTGCTACCATGCTACACAGTACTCAAAAAGTATTCATTACACATAGCTTGCTTAGGCACATGTGTTGTCTTACTTTGGAAATGAGGACAATAGAATACACCCTCAAATGAGTTGATACCCATAGCACTTATTCTTTCACGATAAAATTTTATTTTGGCACACAGTAAAACAGAAAGTATATTAGCTATTTAACAGGTGCAAATAGATATTTTTGAACGTGTACTGCATATCTTATGGATGATGTTTGCATGTAGTACGTGTCCATGTGTGGGGACTAGTGTACGTTTAATCATTTTGTTAGAAAAATAATACCGTTGAGTTAAGCCTGTGTTTTATTGTTAATCATGCATTTAGTAACAGCACAAGTTGACAAATCACTTATAATTGCTACATATTATAGCAGCACAATTCACAATTGCAAAATCATGGAGCCAACCCAAATGCCCATCAATCAATGAGTGGATAAAGAAACTGTGGTGTGCATATATATATTATATACACACACTATCATACATATATACTATATACATACTATTCCATCATATATATATGCATATATCTGATGCATATGTATCTATTTGCACCTGGTAAATAGATAATATACTTTCAAATATATCTATTTGCACCTGTTAAATAGCTAATATACTTTGTTTTACTGTGTGCCAAAATGCATATATATATATATATATATATATATATATATATATATATATATAATGGAATACTATGCAGCCATAAAAAGGAATGAATTAACAGCATTTGCAGTGACCTGGATGAGATTGGAGACTATTATTCTAAGTGAAGTAACTCCAGAATGGAAAACCAAAAATTGTATGTTCTCCTGATATGTGGGAGCTAAGCTATGAGGGTGCAAAGGCATAGGAATGATGCAATGGGCTAGGCATGGTGGCTCAGACCTGTAATCCCAGAACTTTGGGAGGACGAGGTGGGTGGATCACTTGAGGTCAGGAGTTTGAGACCAGCCTGGCCCACATGGTGAAACCCTGTCTCTAATAAAAATACAAAAATTAGCTGGGCATGGTGGTGTGCACCCGTAATCCTAGGTGCTCCAGAGGCTGAGGCAGGAGAATCACTTTAACCTGGAAGGCAGAGGCTGCAGTGAGCTGAGATCATGACACTGCACTCCAGCCTGGGCAACAGAGCAAGACTCCATCTCAAAAAAACAAGAATGATGCAATGGACTTTGGGGTCTTGGAGGAAAGAGTGGGAAAGGGGCGAGGGATAGAAGACTGCAAATATGGTGCAGTGTATGCTGCTTGGGTGATGGGTACACCAAAACTCACAAATCGCCACTAAAGAACTTACTCGTATAGATCACCTGAGGTCAGGAGTTCAAGACCAGCCTGGCCAACATGGTGAAACCCTGTCTGTAGTAAAAATACAAAAAATTAGCTGGGTTTGGTGGTGGGTGCCTGTAATCCCACCTACTCAGGAGGCTGAGGCAGGAAAATCACTTGAACCCAGGAGGCAGTAGCTGCAGTGAGCTCAGTGAGCTGAGATTATGCCATTGCACTCCAGCCTGGGCAACAAGAGCAAAACTCCATCTTAAAAAAAAAAAAAGGAACTTATTCATGTAACCAAATACCACCTGTACCCCAATAACTTATGGAAAAAAAAAAGAATCCACTTCATGTAGTAATATATGATAAGCACTTAGTAAATGCCAATTGTTATGTTCTTGCCTGGGCAACTTTTGGTTGTCAACTGAGTAGAAAAAAGCGCCATCTTTTAGAAATCTGTAATTCCTTCTTATCTGTATGTTACCTTCATTTTCATAAAAGGTAAGCAGTAAAGTGTATTGTATCATACAGTGATGAATTTTGGAAATTATGCATAACATTTTAATTATAGCTTGAATATCCTTTATCTACAATATCTGGGAGCAGAAGTATTTAGGAGTTTAGGCTTTTTTCGGATTTTGGAATATTTGCATTATATACTTACCAGTTGAGTACCCCTAATCCAAGAGTCTGAAATCTGAAATACTACAATGAGCATTTCCTTTGCTCATCATGTCCATGTTCAAAACATTTCAGATTTTGGAGCATTTCAGATTTCAGATTTTCGGATTAGGGATGCTCAGCCTGTATTTTAAATATGAAAGACATGCACTTGTTAAGGACTTTTGCAGAGATTTTACTTTGCAATTATGAGTCAGCCCATATATGACTTCTGTTACGCAATTGCATATTTCTCAGAACTCTATTTTTTTTCATTTGTATTACTTAAATGTTTACTTAACTGGGAAATAGAAGATTTGTTTTTTGTTAAAGTGCAAATAAATGACAAAACAAACCTAAATAAAAAATTAGTTGATTTAAATACTCAAAAAACCCAAAATGCTTCATGAATAACATAGTAGAACATACTTTGAGAAAAAAATATAAACATACATATATCTGACTTCAACTATCTTGTTAGTTGATTTGTGATTACTTAATTAGATTTATTAAATAACTAAAAACTGACTTACAAATTTATAAGCATATATTCAGGTTTCTGTTGTAATTAAAGTAAAAAAAATAGTTAAAAATTTACAATCTTATTGTCCTTATCTTTCCTGTTTTTACTTGGGAAATTATCCTTCTTACTTAAAAATTTTACTTCCTGTTTTTATCTCTGAAATATATAGTCTAATATGAAAATACACAAGATGGCAGATTGCAGGGGTGAGCTCATTTCTTCCTTAAGGAAATGATATAATAGAAATTATAATCTAGTGGATTTACCTGTACTATATTTCTCTCTTAATATTCAAAGCAACCCTTCCATCCCAAATACCAGAGCCAACCTTGAACAGAATTCCAAAGTGTGGATGAAATTTACCTCCAGTTCCTCTTCCTTATCCCCTCTTTGTCCACGTTTCCTTTTGACCTTTTGGCCCTTCCTTTGACCTTATCTAAAGATGTATTTCTGGTGTTAGAAAGTGTTAGAACTTTCCTCTTCATTTTCAGCTTAAACTGAAGTCTTTATTTAACTTGGATTCCTAACTATTGCATCCTTAGCCCATATTACCAACCTATGAATTGAAATGTTGCCATCTATCTGACCAACCTAATAATGTCTTGCATCCTGCTCTCAATAGGTCACACTCTCTTAGATACCAGTGAAAGACTTGAGATTTTTCTGTTTCCTGCATTTATCTCAGCCTTCCATGTGAATCACCTGTATTAAAATTTTAGTAATCCCCACTTTCGGAGGCTGAGGCAGGCAGATTGCCTGAGGTCAGGAGTTCGTGACCAGCCTGGCCAACATGGTGAAACCCCGTCTCTACTAAAAATACAAAAAAGTAACCGGGCATGGTGGCACACACCTGTAGTCCCAGCTACCTGGGAGGCTGAGGCAGGAGAATCGCTTGAACCTGGGAGATGGAGGTGCAGTGAGCCGAGATTAGGCCACTGCACCCCAGCCTGGGTAACAGAGTGAGACTCCGTCTCAAAAAAATAAAATAAAATAAAAAATAAATTAGTAATCTCATTTCTGATTCACTTGATCTGGGCTTACTTCCTTTTCCCAGCTGGGCTCTCTCTATGGTTCTAGTATGCTTTGTAGTGATTAAAAGGATTAGGATAAATAAAACCACTGCCATAAACCAAAAAATTTCTGGTCTACCTCAAGCCCTAATGGTCAACTTGGTTTTCCCTCGCCCCTAGTTATTCTGTTTATCAAACAGAAAATAAATACTCTTTACCAAGTTTCATAACATATATATTAAAAAAATCTACTAATAGCATTTAGAAGGTGAGAATTCATACTGAATCTTCTACTTCTAGATCAAAAGCACTAGAATACTCAGAGTACTCTAGAAATGTATGATGGAGGTAGGTGACTCATTCTTTTAGAATTCATCTGTGGGAGGCAAAATAATTGCACCCCAAAATGCCCACTGCCTAAAGCCCAGAACCTGTGGTACATGGCAAAATGTTATGTTACATGAAAAAGCGACTCTGTAAATGTAATGAAGGTTGTTAACACTAAAACAGGGAGAGTATCCTAGATTATCCAAGCTGGCCCAGTCTAATCATCTTAAAAGCAGAGAACTTTTTTGGCTGGAATTTGGAAAAGAGGTGTGGTAGAAGGGGAAATTTGAAAGATGTCAAGTGTAATAATGATTCAAGGTGCTGCT
Source organism: Homo sapiens (assembly GCF_000001405.40). Lineage (NCBI taxonomy): Eukaryota > Metazoa > Chordata > Mammalia > Primates > Hominidae > Homo > Homo sapiens. The sequence continues at coordinate 114,773,029 of NC_000003.12, forward strand.
GCTGGCTCTGACATATAGGGACAGCACACATGCAAGGATCTAAAGATGGTTCCCAGCTGATAGCAAGGAAATGGAGATCTTAGTCCCACAACCATGAGGAACTGAATAAGCATGAAAGTGGATTTTTTTTCAGAGTTTCCTCCAGTTAAGAATCCAGCCGACACCTTGATTTTGGCCTTGTAAAGCCTACAGCAGAGAAACTGGTAGAGCCAATCTAAACTTCTGATCTGCAGAACTGTCAAATAATAAATTTGTATTGTCATAAGCTGCTAAGTTTGTGGTTGGTACAACAGCAACAGAAAACAAATATATTATCCAACATACTATCCCAGTCCAAAGGCCAACAGACACATTAGTTTAAAATCATAGAGTAAAGAATTGGGACAGGAACCACTACTATGAAAAAAGAAAGTTCTTAACACTATAAATACATTTTCCCCGATATTCCTTCTTTTAGTCATATCCTCAGAGAAAGTAAAATACCTCGAGACTAAAGGAAAAAGAACACAGGGAGTGTATATCTACTCAAGTGCAAATTGTCCTCACCAAGGAACTTCACAAATGTGCTCTTCCTCACAGGCAAGAATACTATACTAACAGTGCAACATTACTCAAACCAACTAAATCCACTCTCTTCAACAGGAAAAATCTGAAAAGAGCTTGAAAGTTTATAAAGGCATGAAGATAATGAACATTTAAGAAACAATGAAAAAAAGAGAAAGAAAGTCCAGGCAAATGTACCCAAAATTCACAGATCACATGCCTACTGGGGTATGTTTTGCCTACTATACAAGTTGTCTTATAATCATACCTTTAAAGGAAATTATCTTCAAAAACTATGATTATTTATTTTTATATGTCATCACCAAAGCTAGTTTTTAAAATTTATCTTCCAAAATGAATTTTCTTTCTTACTCATATTTTTTACACAGCTAGCTTCTGGTCTTAACTGAACAAAGGAATATTGGAAGAAAGGCAGTTATTTCCAATGATTTTCGGCATTGAAGATTTAGAAAAGTTAACCTTTGAAAATTTACTCAACTTCAGAACCTAAAACTTTTTGAGGTATAACTACCAACAACATGCTGAAAACAAATACTTTTGCAATCGACTAGAAATAATTTTCACAGTAAAAGGTAAATTCTCAGCACGCTGCACATATTCTACTTTATAATTATATCACAGTATGAAATAATATGAAAGAAAATAAGGGGAACAAACCAATATAATGATTTAAAATTCTTATAGAAACAGGATAAATGAAGTTAATTTTATTTTTCTGTTGAGATAGAAAATATACTGAGCTAAAAATTACTAATACCACACTTTGAATCTTCCCTTTTGTCTTCCATGGAGGCCACACATGGAAGGATAGCTCCAATGACCTGGGTAAGGGCAATGCAGGATAGAAATGGCCACGTGAGAAAATGTACACACATTCCTTTCTTTTGAATACCACATTCTGCTTCCTAGAGGTCCCTGTAAACTTATTAAAAACTTCAGTCATTTTGTAAGGAGATACCATAATTTCAAGGGGCTTTGAGGCTCATTTATAGCAAATTAATCCCCATTTTATGTCTGTCCCCATTTAATATTTCTAAAGGGGGTGGATAACAAATCTCGCCAACTCTCTTTTTAAGGGCTATTCAGATACTAAATAAACCAGGAACATTTAAAAATACAATCTCACAAAAATCTGCTTTGCTTAACCTTCTCTCCTTCTTTAAAAAATAAGAAAGGCATGATGTTCTTTTTTTGTTAATTAATTCATTTTAGACAATTCCTTAAATTTTCATTTTAATAAATTTTTGTGTGGGTGCATTAATTACTCTCAAAGATGCTTTACAACTGTTACCTATTAAAAGCCTTTGTTAGTGAATAAAAAAAAAGAAAAGAAAAGAAAAAACTTCCAGCATGCTCCCTTCCTTCTCTATTCTGAGCAGGTCCTTGCTATCAACTGCTGGAGTATGCTTGCTTTGCACCTAGAGCTATAATTATTTTGCTTTAATTTTACAAAACCTTTTGTTCCATTCCCACGAGCCCACCTGATCCTTATATTACACTCGCTCTATTAAAACACTCATGCAGAACAAAGCATGGCTGTACTGATTCATAAGTAACTTTTTTTTTTTCCTCAGTAAAATGCCACTGGCTAGGCTTCGGGACACAGTCCTGGGCTTCACCATCCTATGCCAATTTTCATATGTTAGAACAAAAAAAATATGTTGTATCAGAGTGTTGTACTCTTCCCCAAGATCCTTCCTTTGCCCCACTTGTTTTTTGTGTTTTTAAACATATTTTATCTTATACTTAACTTTACTCTGGGGCAATATACATGACAGAATGTTGAGGATGGTGGATATATTAAAAGATTGTAATCATGTTGATATTTCTTTTATTCATGTGGTTAAAATTCTTAAAAATGACTTCTGTTGCCTTATTTAATTTTTTTTTTCTTTCTCCTTACTCCACCTCTTTTCCTTGAGATCTTGCAATACATGTGGGCTTTTGGCAAAAAAAAAAAAAAATTGCAGTGACTCATCAAGAAAACTGTTTGTTTGCTCTGAGGAGCACCCTGAGGACCCTCTGGGCTGCACACGGAGCCCTTTGATCCTAGGAAATTTATTTCTTCCAGATGTTTTCCCGACAGCCACCTTTCTGCAATGTCCCTCTTCATTATGTAGCATAAGAATACTCAAGACCCACTGCTATGGTACAGTTTTCCTGAATGGAGTGTGACAGGGAGTTGACATTTGATTGAGCTGTTGGATTCTTCTTGCCTTAGGCACAATGATGGAGGAAGGTTAACACTGAGGAAAGGCAGAACTGGGTCTGTTCAGGTACAGTGTCTTTAGGATTAGGATGGAAATTATGTGAACCAGGCCAAAGAAATTATGTAAAATCTACAAATCTGCAGACCATTGATCATGGACCTAGTTTTCTTCAACCCTGTAAAATCTTGATGCCTGGATCTGCCATGTTGTTACTCCTCCAATTTTTTTTCTTTTTTTTTTTTTTTTTACTAACATACAAAGTGCGGACAGGAAAGTTAAGCCTTTGGACAACTCTTGTTTTTTCTTGGCCTGGCTGACAGTGCTAGCGGAAAGGAGAAGGGAGAACAAGGGAAGAATGCAGAGCAGGTACAAAGGTAAACATGGTGTGGTGGGCTGAATAATGACATCTCAAAATGTGTCCACGTTCTAACTCTTGGAGTCTGAATATTAATTTAAATGAAAAAAAAAAAAGACTTTGCAGGTATAATTAAATTAAGAATTTTGACATATGGAGCTTATCCTGGATTATCTAGATGGGCCCTAACTACAATTCTATGTATCCTTGTAACAGGAAGATTCCACATGGACAGAAGAGGCCAACTTAATGTGACCAGAGAAGCTGAGATTGCAGTGATGTGGCCACAAGCCAAAAAACGGTAGTGGTCAGCAGAAGCTGAGGAAGGCAAAGAAAAGGATTCTCCCCTAGAGCATCCAGAAGGAATGCAGCCCTGCTGACATCTTGCTTCTCGCCCAATGATACCGATTTTGGACTTTTGGCTTCCAGAACTGTGAGAGAATAGATTTCTGATGGTTTAAGTCACCAGGCTTGTGGTAGTTTGTTATAGCAGCCACAGGAAACTAATACAAATGGTAACCATTTCAAAACTCCATTGTTCAGAGCATTTGTGAAATCACTGAAGTCTCAGGTTGAAGGCACAGTGGAAAACAGGATGCCAAGGCTTGAAGACAAAATTCTCTGTGGAGATACTGGAGATATTAAGGGCACTTATAATCTACAGCAAGTAGGGAACTAAAACAGGGCAAAGAGAGTGCACAAGGGCATTCAACAGAAGATTAAACAGATTATGAATGTAAATGTTCTAATTTTCTAATGCTGGTTTGCATTTTTTATGAAGTAGGACAAATCTATAGTATTTTCCATTTAAGTTAATGCTTACACACATAATGTATTACCAGCCATTTTCCCCCTAAATCAATTATCAGTATCATTAACTTTAGTGACATTTGATTTGGCAAATATAAACTATATTTGGCACATATATACTGTATTATAAAAATAAAGATCCTCTATCTGCACTTGAGGTAACTTTCCTTTAGCTATTCAAAGAAAAATCTATTTTTAAGGTTTAACCCAAAGATAATATGGAACCTAAACCCAAGAATTCTTAAATAGATATATTAAAACAATAACTTGGCTGGGCATGGTGGCTCACACCTGTAATCCCAGCACTTTGGGAGGCCGAGGGAGGTCAGGACTTCAAGACCAGCCTGACTAACATGGAGAAATGCTGTCTCTACTAAAAATACAAAATTAGCCGGGCATGGTGGTGCATGCCTGTAATCCCAGCTACTCGGGAGGCTGAGGCAGGAGAATCTCTTGAACCCAAGAGGCAGAGGTTGCAGTGAGCCAAGATCACACCATTGCATGCAGCCAAAAAACACATGAAAAAATGCTCATCATCATGGGCCATCAGAGAAATGCAAATCAAAACCACAGTGAGATACCATCTCACACCAGTTAGAATGGCGATCATTAAAAAGTCAGGAAACAACAGATGCTGGAGAGGATGTGGATAAATAGGAACACTTTTACACTGTTGGTGGGACTGTAAACTAGTTCAACCATTGTGGAAGTCGGTGTGGCGATTCCGCAGGGGTCTAGAACTAGAAATACCATTTGACTCAACCATCCCATTACTGGGTATATACCCAAAGGATTATAAATCATGCTGCTATAAAGACACATGCACATGTATGTTTATTGCGGCACTATTCACAATAGCAAAGACTTGGAACCAACCCAAACGTCCAACAATGATAGATTGGATTAAGAAAATGTGGCACATATACACCATGGAATACTATGCAGCCATAAAAAATGATGAGTTCATGTCCTTTGTAGGGACATGGATGAAGCTGGAAACCATCATTCTCAGCAAACTATCGCAAAGACAAAAAACCAAACACTGCATGTTCTCACTCATAGGTGGGAATTGAACAATGAGAACACATGGACACAGGAAGGGGAACATCACACACTGGGGACTGTTGTGGGGTGGGGGGAAGGGGGAGGGATAGCATTAGGAGATATACCTAATGCTAAATGACGAGTTAATGGGTGCAGCACACCAACATGGCACATGTGTACATATGTAACAAACCTGCACGTTGTGCACATGTACCCTAAAACTTAAAGTATGTTAATAATAATAATAATAATAATAATAATAATAATAATACACATTCAAAAAAAAAAGATCACACCGTTGCACTCCAGCCTCGGCAACAAGAGCAAAACTCCATCTCAAAACAAAACAGCAACAACAACAAAAAACCCAATAACTTAAAATTGGAAAAGTCCAATAGCAAAATTATTGTGACCAAACCACCCAGTTTATCCCTTTCTCTAGTTCATCGTTAAAAACACTTGGTAGCAGCATTATTAATAAAGAACTAAAAATACACCTGAACTCTATGATTCTTCTTAGCTATATGGCTTTTCAACAACCAAACCATTAATCTTCGTAATCACCATGAAGCTAATAGATGTAGACTACAGATACAGATAAAGAAATAAGATTATGGAAAGCTTAAAGAGATTCTAGATCAATCAGCAAATGAGAAGAACTGAGAAAATCAAGTAGAAATGCTGGCTGCGTTCTCTAGTACCTTTGAAAAGCTACTAGAGATAGAATCCTTCTTTTGGAGAAAATAGTCCAATGACAGAACATGTAAAAGATGGACAGAGTCATTTATTTTTTGCTACTTTCATATTAACACAGAGTATTCATTTGGCAGTAGTTTTCAAAACAAGAAGAACAGTCTATTTTTAAATAAAATTAAAAAAAGTAACTGATGATTAACATAACTACTGTACCAAAAGAAAGATAACATAAGTCATTCAAAGTACCAGGAGGCTAAAGAAATTCTAATAGTTATCCCTATACACCTTCATTTCAATAAACATGAAAAATGGGAATCTCAATGTGTTGTCTTTTCAATTTCCTAATAATACCAGGGGGACTCAAGGCAGTTCAAATCTCAGGACTTCAGAGGCCACTGAGTTCCACTATCTGGGGTGCTGAGCAGTCGATATGAATTCCAACTTCATACTCTCCTTGTCTCCTTGTTCTATTTGCTTTAACACTATGTACACCTAACTTATCTTTAGAAGGACAGGATGCATATCCTTTCTATAAAAAAACTATGCAGATTTTCATAGTGCCATATAATTACAGGTACTCTTTATTTGTTTATGAACCCTTCCAACAACCCAATAGGCAATTGTTAACATTCCCATTTATCACTATCTCACCTATTTCTGAGTTCCTAGAGGGTTGAGAACATTCTTTTCCTGTTACTATCTTCTCTTAGTTCTATCACCCCTGGTAAGAAGTTAAGTAGTAACTAGTTGACATAGAACTCACGGCACCGAAGAATGGGTGGCCAGGATCAGTGCAGATTGGTTCATTTGGGTTTGTAACCTTTGTGATAAATTATTGAGTGCTATAGAGATAAAATATAAAATAATTTTTAAAAATCCTACTACAAAACTACCTTAACCCTTTTAGCACAGATTATGATCCTGAAAGCTAATAATCTGTACTGTGCTATAACAAATATAAGAGGATGCCTTTAGTATGATAAAGTTTGCTGTGATGGAGAAATGGTTGAGATAAATGGGACTTTAAAATCAAGAGTCAAGAACATTTGGAAAGATATGAGATACACTTAGGAATCTTACAAATGAACAAGGACTTGTCTCTAGTTTCTTAGTCATAATGTTTCTAAGACACAAATTAATCAAAATCCCAGGTTATCAGTTACTTAATATAAATTTTCCAATAAACACCCCTTGATTACACACTTAGGTCTTCAAAGTGGGTAGATTTATACAATTCCCCTCTACACAGGCAAATTACATACACAAAAATTATGAAGTTATTTTTTTCTTTGAAGTAGTTTAGTGAATTTTTAAAAATCTGTAATGAATAAAACCAGACTTTAAATCCTGAATAAAACCAGACTTTAAATCCTGAATAAAAATGTTCTGTATCAATGATTGTCATGATATGTGTCTTGGTAATAGATTATTGCATAATTTTTTTCTTAATAAAATGGTATCTCCATCAAACATGTAGATCATGGAGTCTTCCCATAGGGACTTTTAAGATCATGTAATCCAATCCTTCATTTTACAGATGAAGAAACAATATGTGAGTGTTTTAATAAAGCCTACTTTAAGTTTTTCATTAAGACAAAAATGGTTGTTATATGAAGAGAAAAGGAGAAAAAGAATTAATAGTAGAAAGTTGGAAGTGAAGAGTGAGGAAAAACAGAAAGGCTTTTTCATTGGTGCAGAGCACTAAGCAGAGATGCATTCTCTAATATATATCCATGTCATTGCTAGAGACTAGCTTAAATAGTACAAAGTTGGTAACATCCTTCTCTTTTCTTTTTTTTGAGACGGAGTCTCGTTCTGTTGCCAGGCTGGAGTGCAGTGGTGCGATCTCGGCTCACTGCAACCTCCACCTCCCGGGTTCAAGCGATTCTCCTGCCTCAGCCTCCTGAGTAGCTGGAACAACAGACATGCACCACCATGCCCAGCTAATTTTTGTATTTTTAGTATAGATGGGGTTTCACCATGTTGGCCAGGATGGTCTCGATCTCTTGATCTCATGATCAGCCCACCTTGGCCTCCCAAAGTGCTGGGATTACAAGCGTGAGCCACCACGCCTGGCCCGTAGTATCCATTTTTAAAATAATCACTTAGATTATAAACACGTAAACAATTTAGACAGGTTTACCTCTAGGGAATCATATGACTTACCATAAATAAGCAAACATATTCTGTATTACCAACATGCTAACTGTTCATTCATTTACACTGTATATTACCTCTCACTTCCCCAGAATATGCAAGTTGAAGGAAACATAACAACCATTGTAAAACTCTATCTTAAAATAAATATTATTCTATAAAGAAAAAACAAACATTTTTAAGAGTCATATAAAGGCAAATTTTAATTTGAAGACTTGATACTAAGGAATAAATATATATACCTAATATGTATTCACAAAAGTTAAAAACTAATTTTTTTAATGTAGGCTGTGGAATCAGACTCCCTGGGACTGAATTTTGATTTTGCCCCATCCTTGACCTTGGGCAAATTTTTTCTCTCTGTGCCTCAGTTTCCTCACCAGTAAAATTAGGATAACAACAGTGACTATTTACAAGAGTTGTTGTGAGGATGGAATGCCATAAATTTACATATAAATCTTTTAGAACAGGGACTGGCACATAGTAATTAATAAATGTTAGCTGTTACTTCTAATATGTACAAGCCTGTTAAACATTTTGCAGGGGGGAGATAAGGTGTTTCTCATTAATGGGACTTGTTAAGGCATTTTGTCTTTCAAATGGCTGCCTAACTTAATTCATACCAATATTTTATTTCAGTAGGATTAATGAAATAGTATGAGGAAAAGCCTTAGTGTGGTTTCTTTAGACATGTTTGAGACAGATATTCTCATCCTTTTAAGGGGAGTAATCTAAAATGCTACACCCATTTGTGGCTTAAAGTAACTGAGAAGTGACTCTCACAAGATGACATGATTTAGCTGTGTCCCCATCCAGATCTCATCTTGAATTGTAGCTCCCATAATTCCCACATATTGTGGGAGGAACCCAGTGGGAGATAACTGAATCATGGGGGCGGTTTCCCCCATACTGTTCTCGTGGTAGTGAATAAGTCTCATGAGATCTGGTGATTTTATAAGGGGTTTCCCCTTTCGCTTGGCTCTTTCCTTCTCTCTTCCCTGCTGCCATGTAAGATGTGACTTTCACCTTCCGCCATGATTGTGAGGTCTACCCAGCCACGTGAAACTGTGAGTCCATTAAACCTTTTTTTCTTTATAAATTACCCAGTCTTGCATGTCTTTATTGTGAGAACAGACTAATACACAAGGCAAAGGAGAAAATGGGGGAGCAGAAGAGGCTTAGCAGGATGCATACATCTTCTGATATGGAGAACATGAAAGCACTCACTGAGGAAAGTGGAGGTGCTGGCTCTTCAGCAAGCAAATGCTCCACCTATATGCTCCCACAGTATCTTATACATGTCTCAAAGCCTTTAACCTGCTGCTTTGTAATGATTTGTTTACATATACTTTTTTTTGTTATTATATGGTCTTCTACTTGAAGACAAAAACTGTCCCATTCACTTTTGCTCAGTAGTTGCTCAGTGGCATATTTCTGGATTGAATGACTTAGTTAATTAATAACAGTTACTACAATGGGGGAGGCTATTGATTTTAAAGCGAGAGCTAAGACTCACAGGTTCTATCCAATGGAGGGGCGTGTTGAAGTAGAAGTAGCTAGCTATTATGGTACTGACAATGGATCTCTGATCTCTGTGCTGGGGATAAATGCTCTAAGTGAGCATGAAATATTTTTGAAGTTTATACATGTGTAAGTTTTTTTTCCCCTTAACCATAATAACTTTCTTTTTTAAAAATGCATGAATATTTGAGTAACTAAGTGCAATGTTAATGTTGGGTGCAAATATAATCTGCCTAATAAACCATGGAAAAAGCCTGAAAATAAATTCAATAAATAGAGTCCTAGATAATGTGTTGTGGGAGATGAGAGAATAAGCAATTAATTATAGATGGTGGAATTAAGGTAATTTTAGTAGAGAAGGTAATATTTGAGCAGGATCTTGATGCAAATACTAAATCTAAATCTGTGAAAATAGAGCTTATATCCTTAATGTAGAAACTGGCTGATATGCAGAGATAAGTTGAAAGTCCTGTGAATAGGTGACATAAACATCAAAGGTATTCCTAATTCCCAATATACTTGAAAAATTGGCTATTATTTGATGCATATATCCCTGTATGGCAATCAGTCCAGTAAATAAAATAATAATAATGTCCTTTAAAAAATTCATTTATTCATGAATATTCATTCATCCATTCACTCTTTCAACCTAATGTGATAATCTACTGAATATCAAATTCCGAACTGTGCTGAGTACATTGGAAACCACGGTGGTCAAGACAGAATAAAGTCTCTGCATAAGAAGTAGGTTCAGACAATTAAATTAATAATTATAATGCAATACATATTATGTTAGGTAAAGTACTACATGTTATGGAAATATGTAATTATAAGCAATTTATACTTAAACTCATTACATAAATATGGCAGAACTATATTTGGATAAAGTGCTGGTGGTTTTTATTGACCTTGAATTTCTTCTGATTTGGTCTTGTTTACCTACAGAGTAGACTGCCACATCTGGGTCTTACTTATACTGTTTGCTATTCAAAATCTTGCCTCTTGAACTACCTATTTAATTATGGATTCATGAAGCACAAATCAATTTATTTTCTTAAATTCCTTAAGACTAAACATGGCAGCATTTTTCCTACTCCAGTGTTTCTCTTCTGTTAAGATACATCTTTTGGCCAGGCACGGTGGCTCATGCCTGTAATCCCAGCACTTTGGGAGGCTGAGGCGGGTGGATCACGAGGTCACGAGATCGAGACCAGCTTGACCAACATGGTGAAACCCCGTATCTACTAAAAATAGAAAAATTAGCTGGGCTGGTGACACGTGCCTGTAATCCCAGCTACTCAGGAGGCTGAGGCAGAAGAATTGCTTGAATCTGGGAAGCAGAGGTTGCAGTGAGCTGAGATCGCGCCACTGCACTCCAGCCTGGTGACGGAGCAAGACTCTGCCTCAAAAAAAAAAAAAAAAATACATCCTCAGGAAGATGATGGTGATGATGTATGAAACTGAAAAAAATATGCTTAGTTTTGTGAGATTAGATCTACAGGGCTGAGAAGAGTAAAATCTTGTTTGGACTAGTATATTGAACAAAAACCACATAGGAGTCACAGTGGAAACAATTATAGGCAATACCAATTCTTATCATTTTAATGAGGAGAAGTTAAAGTTGGTCTTTTCGTTGTGGTTCTTAAATGCAAGGTATAACCTATAGTCCATAACAAATTTTTCTTTAGAAATTATCAAGTACACAGTGGGTTTTCTTTAGAAACCACAATTCTAGATTTTTTAAAGCAGAAAATATGCTGTCCTCCTTCATTTTAATTCTTTTGGAGGAATAGAACTTTTTTTTTCTTTCTATAGTTAACTAGAGTTGCCACAGGCAAGAGGACTAACAGAGTAAAATACTAACTGATCCAATATATACTGCATTTATCTAACTGGATTTCATCTAGCTCAACATCATGGCTTTGTAGTCTAAGCAGTAGATGAACAGAAACAATAAACTGGGCAAGTAATGTTTTGTGTGAATAACAGAAAAGAGTGAACAGAAATATAACACTTCACCATTGCACAAAATACAATTAAATATGATTTTTAAAAACCCAGCCACTGATCCACTGCCCAATCATAAAAGAATTGTAATCAGTTCAAGTAGTCTTAAATATAGTGAAAATGTCCTCAAGATACACAGCATGAGAGAACAAAGAGTTTTCACTATCATCTGCTGGACTCAGGGAAGGTGTGCTATGTGGTTATCATTTGAGTGCTCTGTGTTTAAGTTAATCAATATTATAAATTATGCATGTATTTTAGAAGTTCATAATTTCTATTAACTTGTAAAGTTATTGAAAAGAAGGATGAATAAACCATACTACAAAAATAAGAATGTGAATAAATGCCAGTTTTTCCTCAGATTACAGATGATATAACATCGCTGCTATTTTAAGAAAATGAGACTGGATCAGATGTGAACATTTATCCCTTCTCTTTAGGATAGCCTATGAATTCAACACATTGACACTAATTATAACAATAGCTAACAGTTAACTGGAGTACTAACCATGTGCAAAGCACACTGTAATTATTTCACATATATTATCTCATTTAATGCTAACAACAATACTATATTATAAACAAGGAAACTGAGGCAAAGGGAAGTCATTTGCTCTAGATCACCAGGGTAGTAACGGGTGGATGTAGGATTCAAACCAGACATACTCCAGAATCCATACAATATCAGAATAGTCTGACCCCAAAAGACACACACACACAAAATGGATCTAACCAATACCTTGGGAACATCATCTAACTTTTCTGGGCTTTAGATCCTTCAGCTGAAATAGGAGTTGACAAACCTTTTCCAAAAAGGATAAAATCTTAAATATTTTAGGCTTTGTGGGTCAAGAGGCAAAATCAGAGATGTCATGCTATTTAGGTAATTATATAATTGGAGAGAAAACTTGCTGTATCTCAGCCAGTTAGATGAAAAACACATAATACAACAGGAAAGGATAATCTTCAAACTATTAAATTATATTCTCTTTGTACGTCTAATGTGGAGACAAATTATATTAAGAACACGGTAGCTGAAATAAAATTATTTCAGATTAGCACATCAGGTGTTGAATGTTATCAGTGGTTATCTTAGGGGGTGACAGAAGAAGATTTTAGGGACAGAGGGAAGTTTTTTCACTTCCAGTTAAAATTTATTTTTTAAGTGGTGGAATTGATTGTTATTTATTATTATTATATTTTACTTTGTGTTTTGGAGTAGTTTTCAGTATTTTTTCCTGGTTTTATTGAGGTAAAACTGACAATAATTTTACACATTTAATATGTACAATGTGATGGTTATCAAATACACATTACCACGGTCAAGATTATTAACATATCCATCACCTCATATAGTTACCATTGTGCATGTGTGTGAGTATGTGTGTGTGCTGAGAATACTTCAGATCTTACTCTCTGCGTAAATTTAATGGATGCAAGTCAGTATTATTAACTATAGTCACTATGCTGTATATTTGATCACCATAAGTTATTCATCTTATAATTGAAAGTGTGTACCCTTTGACGAACTTCTCCTGATATCCCTGTCCCCAGCTCCTGGCAATCACCATTTTATTCTTTACACTTTTGAAATCTACTTTTTTTTTCTTAATTTAATTTTAAGTTCTGGGATACATGTACAGGACGTGCAGGTTTGTTACATAGGCAAACGTGTGCCATGGTAGTGAACAGCCATGTTTTCAATACATCACAAGCCATAGTAGTGAGAAACACCATTTCTTTTTTTTTCTTTTTTAATTATTATTATACTTTAAGTTCTGGGATACATGTGCAGAACTTTCAGGTTTGTTACATAGGTATACACGTGCCATGGTGGTTTGCTGCACCCATCAACCTGTCATCTACATCAGGTATTTCTCCTAATGCTATCCCTTCCCCAGACCCCCACTCCCCAACAGGCCCCAGTGTGTGATGTTCCCCTTCCTGTGTCCATGTGTTCTCATTGTTCAGCTTCCACTTATGAGTGAGAACATGCGGTGTTTGGTCTTCTGTTCTTGTGTTAGTTTGCTGAGAATGATGGTTTTCAGCTTCTTTTTAAAAAGATTCCACATAAAAGTGAAATCACACAAAAAAAGGAATTTCAGAAAAACTAAAAAATTGAATTAATATACTGTCATAGGAAAAAACAGAATTTCCAAGAGGAGTGGGGGAAAATAATAGTATCAGAAATATAATAATAATAGATCTTTTTCCTGTGGAAAATAGTACATAGAAATAGAAAGTACTGAAAAGGAGAATCAGAAAAGATTATGGCTCCAGAATCACATTATCTTCTACAGTTTGAAGAAAAAAAAATGTGGCTAAAAGAAAAAAAGTATTTCCATTACACACCTTTTATAATGACTAGAATAAAAAAATACTAATATCAAGTATTGACAAGGATATTGACAAGGATATGGAGCTACTGAAACTCTTATACATTGCCAGTGGGAATGCAAAACTGGAAATTACCCAAATGTCTTTCAGTGAATTAATGGTAAATGATCTTCTGTATATCCATACAAAGGAACACTACTTAGCAATAAAAAAGAAACAAATCGTGAAACATGCAATGATATGAAAGAATATTTTATTTTATTTTTTTAAAGACAGGGTCTCACTCTATTGCCCAGACTAAAGTGCATGATCATGGTTCACTGCAGTCTCAACCTCCCTGGCTGAAGTGATCCTCCTGCCTCAGCCTCCCAAGTAGCTGGAACCACAGGTGCACATCACCATGCCTAGTCAATTAAAAATTTTTTTTCCTTAGAGACAGGGTCTCCCTGTGTTGTCCAGGCTGGTTTCGAATTCCTGGGCTCAAGCATTCCTCCTCCCTTGGCCTCCCAAACTGCTGGAACTCCAGGCATGAGCTAACCATACCCAGCCATGAATGAGTCTTAATGCATCAAGCTGAGTGAAAGAAGCCAGTCTTAAAAGGTTATATATATATATATATATATATATATATATATATATACACACACACACACACACACACACATATATATACATATATATACGTGTGTACACATATATACACGTATATACACATATATATACACATATATACATATATATCCATTTATATGACACGTATACATATATATCCATTTATATGACAACTCTTGGAAAGACAAAACTATAATGATAAAAAGATCTGTGGTTGCCATGAGTTAGTGGTGAGAGGATGGATAAAGGAAGAAGTTCTTCAGTGTGATGGAACTCTTTCATATTCTGATAGTGGTGGTGGTGCTTGTTACATAAATCTATATATATGTTAAAATTCATAGAACTGTATACCAAGAAGTTTATTAATGTCAGTAAAAATATTCAACATTTTCAGAGGAAAAAAGGGAGTAACTGATTACATATTGAATTATTGGAAAATACAGGCTCAAATAAAGCCATGGTTTCTCCTACTAATAAGATAATTTGGTAAGAGATAACACTGTTGATGAAAAAGAAACCTGCAGTTCTACCTCCCTGCCATTAGTTGACCAAAATGAGAATGTCTAACATAGCTACAAATTTAAATAATTCTCTGCTTGTTTAAAACATAGTCTCTAATAGTTCATTACAGTCATTACTGCCTGTTAATCAAGGATAACACTAGTATTTGAATTTTGTAAGTATGACAGCAAGGTAAAGACTGTTACTTAAGCCAATAAATTACCATATTTCATAAAAATCTAATGATTCTGTGAACAGACTATGTAGTTCAATTTTTCTTCTAAACCCTGTAACTGCAATGTATTTTCACTGATATTTTTAAAGAGTTTTCAAAGGTACATTTTTTTATTGTGGTAAAATATATATTAAAAATTGACCATTTTAACCATTTTTAAGTGTACAGTTCAGTGGCATTATGTATACTCACACTGTTATGCAAGTATCAAAACCACCTCCATCTCTAGAACATTTTAACTTTTCCATATTCAAACTGTGTAACCATTACATAATAATCCCATTTCCCCTTCCTCCTAGCCCCTGGTAACCTCTATTCTACTTTCTGTCTCTAGGAATTTGACTATACTAGGTACTTACTCGGCACAATGCATTAAAGTTTTATCCATGCTATAGCATATGTCAGAATTTTATTTCTTTTTAAGGAGGAATAATATTCCATTCTATGTATGGACCACATTTTGTTAATCCATTTGTCCATTCATGGACATTTGGATTGTTTTCACCTTTTGGCTATCAACTGTGCATTCCTTTTGACATTATTGTCAGCCACCAGTTTTTTCCTCACTAGTCAGACTCAAGTCATATTCTGACACTCTTTAGGAATATAGGACATTTCATTTACAATAGTTAGGTTTAAACAGGATGTATTCATTTGCTCTCACACTACTAATAAAGATGTACCCAAGACTGGGTAATTATTTAAAAAAGAGGTTTAATGGACTCACAGTTCCACATGGCTGGTGAGGCCTCACAATCATGGCAGAAAGTGAAGGAGGAGCAAAGACATGTCTTATATGGAGGCAGGCGAGAGAGTGTGTGTGTAGGGGAACTACTCTTTATAAAACCATCAGATCTCATGAGACTTATTCACTATCATGAGAACAGCACAGGAAAAACCGCCCCTGTGATTCAAGTACCTCCCACTGGGTGCCTCACACAACACACGAAGATTATGGGAGCTACACTTCAAGATGAGATTTGGGTAGGGACAGAGCCAAACCATATCAGGGGACCTTTCAAGTTTGGTCACAAGGTCTAATTAATTATTTTCATGCATAGGATCTAAAGAGCAATTGTATATTTATCAACTTATGTGTTCAAATTTGGTCATTAGCTTAACATATGTGTTTGTATGCATGTCACATGCATATCTGTGTGATGATACATAGAGCTGTATTATGCATAATGTTAAAGCTTTATTATTGTCTGGTTAGAGAAGCAGTCACTATCCAGAAAAATGGTTTCCAATGTGAAGAAGCATGTTAAATTTGACTTCACTGAATTGAAAATTTTAAGATGAAACAGGAGTTGGGTTCCTATAAGCGGTTAGCGTGCAACTAGACTCCATCTTTTAACAACCAAAGCAGAACATCTGGGTGGGTCCAATGCATTAACATTTTAAAAAAACTTTATAGGTTTTAATATGCAGCTAGAATTAGGAACCTCTGAGACAAAATGATCCTGAGTTGGGGGAGCTAAGAGTAAACAAGTGAAGGTAATTTTAAAAGCCGGTTAGGGCCTGGAGCATACTGAGATGAAGGGAAGAGAAATTTAGAATTATAAATAGCAAAAGATCCACTCAAGCTAGAAAAGATTAAGTATCCTTTTAGAGTTAAGAGTAGAAGAGGCATCAGTTACAAGGATAATTAATATCTAGATTATAAGGATCTGCTATTATAAAACTTATACTAGAACAAAAGTCATGAAAATGGTCTGCGGAAGTCATGAGGTGAGAAGAAGATAAACAGGTAAATATTTAAGCAGATTATAGAGTTCTGGAAATGTCATCAAGTCTCTTGATTGTGTATATTTTTGTTCCATTTAAACACTTGTCCTGAGGTTTATAAGTGAAACATGATGTAATTTATCATCTAAGTAAACATTTATCTTATACACCAAAGCACGGTGAATACACACACACAAACACACACACACTCATACACACAGACATTTTCATTAACAAGAACTAGTACCAACTACAGCTCAGGAAATATTTGTTGATTAAATGAATCAGTCTGCTTACAGTATGCATTTTCTTTTGTGCTGCAGAAGTTGCAATACAAATGAAACTAAAACTTCTGTGTGCTGATTACTTTTCTCAGTCTGCTTATCTGAGAATTAAAGAATTTTTAAAACAATTTTATGTATTAATTTGCAAACTTCTTTAATAATAGATGTTCATTGTAACTGGTGAAACAATAAAAGCTATTTAAAGAAAAAATTAATAATCTTTCCTGATTCCTTTTTTTGTTCCCAACTCTGTGAAATAACCAATGTGAAGAATATGGTATGAATTATTTTCTATAGCTTTCTTCATGTTCATATAAACATACGCAACATATTTATTCATAAATACTCATTACCCTGAAAATTATGGTCATTCTTCCAGGTTAACAGCTATAGATATAATTCATTCTTTTCCTAATGGCTGCATTATCTTCAATAACATGGATGAATCATCTGTCCATATCATATGATATGCATGTAGTCCAATTCAAGAAATCAGTATACTTTTTTTTTTTTTTTTTACAAATTTTACTAAAAGTATTACTAAATTTTTACACAGGATGCTCAACAAACACTGAAGACCTATCTGGTACCAGCTTTGGTGACCAAGAAAGAAAATCAGTGAGGTACTCCTGGTTTTTTGCCCTCCAGAAAGTCACTGACTATCATAGGGGAGACATAACAGTAAGTTTTTTTTTTTTTTAATTTGAGAGAAACTTCTCAGAGAATTTATAGTAACAAATGCTTTTAAAGCAACTATTTAAAAGAAGTAATATATCACTAGCAATTCATTCTTCATTGTTTCCAATGCATGATCAGTATTTAGTAGCAACAGAAGACTTCCCTATATGATGACTCAAAAACAAATTTCCAACCACTAAGAACTCAGATAAAGGACCTTACTCTTGAGACCTCAAAGTGATTTACATTTCCACTAGTACTTCTATTGTAATATATGATATTTATAAACTAGCCTTATTCCATGGAACTCTAAATATTTAATGCTTCACATATATCATTTGACTTTTCTGCATGTGTCATTAAGATAGGAGAAAGTGTCCCCTACAGATAAGGAAAATGATGTTAAGACAAAACTGACAACACCTGAATCAAGTCTCCAGATAGCCCCATACTCTTTCCTTCCAATTATACTTGCTGCCTTGCTAGTGGTAAGCAATGATAACGTAGACAGTATTATGTCATCAATTAGAGAGTCTCACTTAGCTTGATATAATCAGTTTTTATTTAAAAATGAGAGCTTTCCATGCAAACTGTTTTTCTATCTTCTAAAAGGCTTGTGACTAAAACTTCACTGACAAGTTTTTCAGGTGAGATGAGTGTAGGTTAACTACTGAGCAGCCAGAGTCTAGTCAGGCCCCTCACACTTTCCAGTGCTACAAGAAGATGAGCAGATGTGGGGTTAGATGTGGAACCCAGGTTCATAGCTGTACCTGCCAACCCTAACCTAGAGAAGGGAAGAGAACACTGATGGTAACCATGGCAACAGTAACAATGCTACACATCTATCACTTATTGATTATCTAACAAAGTCTTAAAATATCAAGTAATGTAAGCAAAGAACAATTCAGTGAAATTTTAGCAAAGGTTAGGCAAATTTTATATGGTCAAGATAGTACATTTGCAAACAAGTAGAAGACCTTGTCAAAAATCTAAATCTTCTAATATCCAGTAACTCTCTTGTCTGAGCCAATTTATTTTCCTACATCTTTGAAGACATTTTATTAAAAAAGGTTATAACTGAGAATTCGACAGTAATCAGAAGAGTGATCTTCATTCTGTATTCAGTGTCTCTTGACCCCCTGAAAGAATCTCAGCTCAGCATGGCTTCCTCCCTTTTCCAGTTGACTCAGAGAACGGTGCTTTCAAATTGCCTTTTGGGATACATGAAGGGGTGCATTTAGAGCCAACCTGAAGTGTAACACTCTTTATTGTTCCTGAGAAACGTGTGCCCAATTCCCTAGAAATTTACTGTTTCAAAGAGTCACAAGCTCCTGATTGCTTCTCATCAGTCTTGAAGAGATTAGATAAGCTTCCTCCCTCTTACAAAAGCTTTTTCTTCATTCAAAATTCCTTTGAGAACAAAACATTGAACCAGAATTGGATTTTTAACAAAATATTATAAGATTGTTGAAAACATTTTTTTTTCTCCTGAGGAGACCAAACAATTCAAAAGATATATTAATGCACATTCTGATTTAGGGCTACTAGCAACATATTGCAAAGAGTAAGGTGGTGCCAAAGAACAAAGTCCCTTCTGCTAAGCAGGAAAGATATTTTTTAACTGCCTTACTTTAGAAGATTTCAATGGACTGCTAAGGGCTTTCACACAGATAATCTCAGAAGTCAAAGCTCAAGAAGTAGGGGGAAGAAACAACTACTGGAGGACCCTAACAGGTAGCATTGCTTCTAATTACCGTAAAATTGTTATGTATACTGATGCCCCACATCCCATTCCCAGACTCAGATAATTATTCTACAGTAAGAGTTGGCTTTAGAATACTTGTTCAAGTGTGTCAGTAATAGAAAATGACCTCTTCAGAAATGGGGGTGTTTACATGCAGTGCTCCTAAAGTTGGCACACATGGAAGGTAATTCAGGGTTATGTTTGCAGTGGCACCCATCATCAGCAATGTTTCAACCCCCGTCCATCTCTCTGTCCTGGTTTTACCAAGGGATTCACTTCAAATGTATTCCTCACTGGTCTTTAGAAAACAGTGCTAGCAATTCATAAGTATGTTTGAATTTTCAAAGTTTTTCTTTTTCTTTTTCTTTTTTTTTTTTTTTTTGAGATGGAGTCTTGCTTTGTTGCCCAGGCTGGAGTGCAATGGTGCGATCTCAGCTCACTGCAACCTCCGCCTCCTGGGTTTAAGTGATTCTCCTGCCTCAGCCTCCCAAGTAGCTGGGATTTCAGGAACCTGCCACCATCCCCAGCTAATTTTTTTTATATTTTTTAGTAGAGACAGAGTTTCACCATGTTGGTCAGGCTGGTCTCGAATTCCTAACTTCAAGTGATCCATACGCCTCAGCCTCCCAAAGTGACGGGATTACAGGCATGAGCCACCGTGCCTGGCCCCAAAGTTTTGCATTTTGATAGCAGCAATAAGGCTGAGTACCTTCATAGGCCTTTACCTCTGATCACACTATAAGGCTTTAATTAAGTTAGTCTTAAGAAGAAAAATGTACACCAAACCCCAATTATTAAACATTGGAATTATTCCTTCTTATTGGTCTAATAATTACAATTTTTTACTTCTCATTCATTTTTCAAAGGTTTTTTTCAGTAGATCTAGGTTATTGGAACGATTATATGTGATATGATGGGGTATTGGGCACAGACACAGTAAATCAAGATGATGCAGAAATGAAAGTCTAATGCTAAAGATCTTACCAATCTTCCCAGATCCCCATTTTTCAAAGGAGGAAATGTATAGAGGACATTACATTTATTTCCAGCCATTATGATATAATTATAAAGCCAACCTCTCAACGCACTCTCTCTTTTTGGGAAGTCTATGACAGCAGGTATTACAATTCTACTTTGCCAGATGAGGTGCGTAAACCATAGAAAACTAACTAGCATCCAAGAGAAGAACAGACTTGGATGTGGGTAGAATAATAGGAAGAACACTTACAGTCAGATATATCAGAGTATGAATGCAGGCTCAAGCTTTTTTCCACTAAAATGTATACAGCAATGTAATCTCACTGAGCCTCAGTTTCTGATACTGTGAACTAAAGATTATGACATCAATCTACAGTCAATGCTGTGAGAATTAAATGTGAAGAGTTTTATGGAGAGGGCATCTGCTAAATGTAACTATTTTTCTTACCCTCCTAAATTTTTTCAGTCTTTTAGACATTTGGGCTATTAGAGAACTAATGACCTCTGTGACCACACTAGCTTAGGCTATAACTAAATGCAACAGATTTAAAAACACCAAGCAGGAGATAGCACAGAGTTTGAATCAGTGAGGTCTAATAGTAATACAAACCTCACTTACTGGCTTTGCAATTTTAGATGCTACTTAATCGTTCTGGGGCTCAGTTTTTTCATTATAAAATGGGAATGGTTCCTACTTTGCTGGGTAGTTGCTGAGTGTGGTAGCAAGGATTACAGACAACTCTTTATACAGTATCTGGTATATTAGGTAAATGGATTGTAATATATATTGTTCAGATTTTTTATTAATTAAGGTTTGTACATAGACTCATCTCCTGCACTTAATATTTCTTTTTCTACACAAGACCTTGAAAGGGTTATGATAGGGGCTTTGATCACATATTAGCTGGTTTGGCTGTGGTAATTTAGCTCCTGAGTATTGGGATTACAGTACCAGCCCCTGCCATTGACTATTTAACTATGACTTGGATAGGAATTCTAGGCCTGAATTTTGTTCGTCTCCAAAATGAAGAGGTTAGAATAAATAATTCCTAAGATTCCCTGTCGCTATAACATTTTCTGGTTCCAGGGTCTTTTTACTGAGCTATAGCAGATAAATCCTCATATCTTTAGAGCTTAAGCTACTTCTCTATGGTTTAATTTCCACATTCCCTCTACTCTATTTCTTCTTTAATTGCAAAAGGGGATAATTTCCATCACTTTGCAAACAAACCAATATCTCTATTCTGGCTTAGTGGCATACCATGTTATTAATGCATCATACTTAAAAAAAGCCTGGATTGTTCTTCAATCCAGAAATCCAGTCATGTTGTAGGTAGTAATAATGAGAATAATGATGATTTATTTTCAAGGTTTTCTATGCCTCCAGGTGCCCGGTCATTGCACATGATAAAATACACCAAAATTAAAAATGAGATTAAGGTTTAACAGATAAAAAATACATTCTAGGAACAAAACACATTTTTGGTATGCATCTCTACATTACACAACAGCCACTTAAAAATAAACAAAAACAAGAAATCCGTTAACCAACAACAGAATTTTAATAATTATTAACTAGAAAGAAAATAAAATTAACTTGACCTTATCTTAGAAGGTTGTCAGAGATCTACTCTGTTTATGCAAGTGAGAAATATGTTTTGAATTATAAGACCTCTATTTCAGAAGTCCAAGCTCTCCTCAAACTCAGAGGTAAACCTTCAGGAAGGATTTAAAATAAATGTATGGATTTTGTTAGCATGTGTATATTATTTACCTTTGAATTAATTTTGATCTTGTCCTATTCTTGAGCTATCCTTCAATTGGTATTTTTGTGTGTATCTACTATGTGCTTTCCCACTGCATTCAGAATAAAATTAAAATTCCTCACTCTGGCATTTCTCTGACCACACCTCCAGCCATTCTGCTTTGCTCACTTTGCTCTGGCCACTCTGAAGTCCTTTTAGTTCTTTGAATACAGAAAGTCTGATTCAAAGCTTTGCATTTGAATACAGGATTTTGTATATGCAGTTTCTGTCTGGAGCTTTCTCCCCTCCCATACTCCGTTCTCTACCCCAAATTCTTCACCTGGCTGATATTATTTTCTGTCCTTCAATGTTCAAATCAAAGGACACTCTCTCTGAGAATTCTGTCCTGAACACCCAAAGGACAGTATAAGAGATTTCCCCCACTCAATGTTGTCTTGCATACATAACACTTTATGTGGACCACAGCTTGTAATGTTGTAATTATGTTTGCACTTATTACATGTCTAATTTCCTTAGGAGACTATCAATTTCATGATGAAGGTCTAAGGGATCATTTCTATATTTCTACTATTAAATATAGTTGAATAATGAATCAATGATTCTATTGTGGTAGACTCAGTAGGGCTAAGAAATGTTAATTAAATATGGACTATTCCCTTAAAATTTTGTTTTCTAGTAAAGGAATAAGGCATACACATAAAGTGCTATAAAATATAGAAAGTAATTCCTGTCTCAATAAAAGTGTAGATGAGTATTGCATTAGTTTCTTAGAGCTGTTGTGACAAGCTACCACAAGCTTGTTGGCTTATAAATAATACCCAATATTTATTATCTCACAGTTTTGGAGGCTACAAGTCCAAAATCAAGTTGTCAGCAGGGTCACTACAGGTGGTAAGTAAATTTGATAGTTAGGGGAGAGTGGATTGTTTCTGTCCAGGTCAAGGAAAGAAGGATTCATGAAATTCATAACATTGGAAATGAACTTGGTAGGATGGGTTGGATTTGCATATGAAAAAATTGAATGATGGACATTCCAGATGCTGGAACAATATGAATAAAGGTGAGTAAGAGAACTCGGCCTGAGTTTATAGTACATACAACCCGGTAGGTGACAATTAACTAAGAAATGGGATCAGAGTTAGATTTTAGGATGTCATGTATATTGATTAGGGATTGTTATACACAGAATTATTGAAAGTTTTATCTGAACAAAGGCGACATAATCTTAGTACTCCTATATTAGGAAAGTTAATGGGGCAGCAGTGTTTAGGATAAACTGATCTCCCTGCTCCATCTCTTTCAATTAGGAGATTTTTGTAAGCAAGAGAAGATAAAATCCTGACTGGAACAGGTATCAAAGAAAGAGAATAAATGAGACTTGGCCACTTACTGGACATCTAGGATGTATTAAGAGGAGGAAAGAATGATATATTTTGAGTAAAGATGTCCTAGAGAATTGGAGTTAGAGAAGCTAGGATAGTCAAAAGCAGGATGGTTTTTAAGTAGAAGAATAAATTAAGTTTTGATATGCTGACTCAGAGAAACTAGTGTGATTTCTAGTTGAAGATTTAAATAAGGATGTTGGAAATATAGGACTAAAGTTCTGAAGACATATCAGGACTGGAGATATAAATTTCTGAGTTATCCATAGTGAAATAATTGAAGTCATGTAACTCTGAGAAGCTGTGTCAAGTCATGAGAAGAGTATGAATGTGGAGTATGACAGATGTGATCACATCCTGTGTCTACTATTTACCTGTTGTATATCCTGGGGCAAATTGCTTAACTCCACCATTTTCTCATATATAAGGAAGAAAATAATTTTATCCCTTAATTAGGATTACATGAGTTAAATATTTAAAAGCTCTGTCATGTTTAAGCTGCTTTTATATTTTGGTGCATAATTCTCATAAGAAATACACTTATTTTGCCATCTAGTATCTTAAAAATATGTGATGTGCTTTAAAAAATATTTATTTTCCTGTGATTCTAGTATATGTGATCTTTTAAACTTTCATGACCTACTAATGCGTTGCAACCCACACTTTGGAAAACTGATCCTCCCATACATTATGGTTCTCATCCAATTCCTCCTCTAGTCACTGTCCCCAACAAGCATTCTATGTTGAAATCACACCAATACTATCAATGTTCTCCTGACTTTCATTTATTACTCCCTCTTCATAGGCTTCTTGCTAGTATCACATTATTCCTTCATGGCCTAGAAAAAAATGATAACCATTTACTTCCTCTGCTATTCCATATAATGTTTTGTCTATAAGAAAGATGCGATTTTCCCAGATAAATTATGAATTCCTTAATAACAGAAAATATGTGTTATTTATCTGTGTATCTTGGTAAAATATTTTGTTATAGGAGGCACAGAACATTAATTCATTATTATAAAGGAAAGGGAGAAGAGGTTTGAAGAGAGAACTTTGTTGAACATCTACATCTAGGACCCTGCTCTGGTATCACCATGTCTCGATTCCTCCTTCTCTATATGCCAAAGCTTCCATGGAATTTTTAAAGGGCAGAACTATTGTCTCTTTGTCTTTGAGGCACAAAGACTTAAGGCCACTAACTTTCAGTACATGGTGGAGAGAGGGAAGACCTGGATGGGTTAAAATAAAGGAAGAAACTAGAAAATGTCCAGAATTTAGCTTTGGGTAAAATAACAGGTTTTTACCGTAGCCTCTTTGGATTGGTAAATGACAGAATCCAATGAAAGCAATGTGAAACAAATGACCAGAGCAAGTAATTCATTTTAAAATATTAAAGCTTATTTCTTTTTTTTTCTGACTCTGGAAAACTTTTCTCTGATGGAAATGACCCCTGGCAACAGTGACATTCTGACACCATGCGTCGTACACACCCTTGGGAAGTTTGAATTCCACACCACTATGGTTCTGTTCAGATTACTGGTTTCATCATGTCTGTAAGCCCAATTAAACTACTGAAGTTCTAATGGTCTTATGTCCACTTTGTAAATCATCATAAAGAATATTAAGTCAACCAAATAAATTTGCCTCTACAGGACTCGTTGCTCAACCAAAGGCATGATACTAGGAACAAAATTAAAAAACAAAAAAACAAAAAAAAACACACAAAAAAACCTCTTTTGATAACAACCAATGTTTTCAGGATACTCCTTTATATATGAATTTGAGATTCTGATGAAGGGGACTACAATTCAACAAGTCTCAAAAAATGAGCCCAAGGCAATTTGCTCCTCAGGAAACATTGCTTAGACCCTGATTGTAGTGGAAAGATTGAAGCCTCAGATTGTAAATTCAGATAGACTATCACGTCTAGGTCTCTAAGGATGATCTGCGATGGTGGTCAATATGGTTTGTGTAACCTTTGTGCCCTACCCTGTGCCTCAATTTGCTTATTTAAAAATGAAGTCACTAGACTTTGTTTCTTACATCCTTTCCCACTATAATGTTTGGTGATGCTCTGCCCTTACATTTGCCTAAACTTTTCAATCTTAAAATATATAAAATGTTTTTATAAAATTCTTTTATGTCCTTAAATGTTATTGAACATGATAACAGTAGAATTCACTAAGCCTAAATTTCATCATTTTAATATTGCCTCAGAGGTCAAGTTTTATGAGAGCCTTAATTTGCATCACCAGAAGCTCATTTAATAAAAATGAAAGAATCCCTTTTGGAAATAAATTTTAAAAACTGATGGTGGGGAAGAGGGGCAGATAAATGTATGTAAAAAAGAAAAAAAAACAACTTAGAAGGTGTCAAATGGTTCTGAGTTCTAAAGAATATTGTGGTCATATTAGTGTTGAAAAGTTGGTCCTAGCTTTTTATGCACTAAAAGTACATTCTGCTAATGGTTCCTTCCCAAATCCCTGGCCTCTTGACCCAATACTTATTGTACCACTTGTCCCATTTCCCTGAAACAAAATCTATAATATGGCAAGACGAACTGAGGTATCAGAGCATCATCTACCCTGGAATTGGGCATATTTATTTGTGGAGTTGATTCTAGTGTGTGGGATATAAAACACACAACTTAAGTGGAAAAATGCTGAAGACCATTTCATAGGTGAAAAGGATGTGGTATGAATGGTCAATTCTCACTTTGGTCAGGAAAAAGAAGTGTAAAGTCAATGAGGTAAGGGGCTGGGAGATGGATACCTCGTATGATATGATAAGCAGAAAGGTTGTGTTTGGCAAATTCCTTTATCATCTTCTTCCTGACTGTCAAAAACTGTATTCAACCTGTGTTTACAATAAATATTCTCTGACAGAATGAACCCTGGATTTCTGACTTTTAAAAAGTTTTGAAATTAAACTAATAGCAGCTATTTCATGATTACCTATTATTGTGCCAAGGGTTAGAAATTACAAAAATGAGTAAGAAAGAGAGAGCCCCTGCTCTTAGAGACCTTACTGTCTGTGGGTTTGAACTGTTGTAGTTATGACAACAATAACAATAACTATCATTTATTCACTCATACCAGCCAGGCACCATGCTCAGTGGGCAACATACACAAAGTGCCAAAGTCTCCTTCATTTCACCAGATGCAATCACAGTAAGGTAACCTTGCTCTGTCCGTGCATCATCGCTTAACAAAAATGAACTTAGCAGGAATTCAGACCATAGGCAGAGACATATAAGCAACTCCAGAACTGTCTACTGTCAACACACAAGAACTACAGTCAATAAAGAGTGCAATGAACTACAGTGAAAATGGAAGCAATTGTCTGAATCACCTTTAGTGTACTCTGTTGACTGGGGGCTGTGACACTCTAAAAACCACGATACAGTAGACTCCACATCTGGCATTCCAACAATAGAAGGGTAAGTGTTTTAAGACTCTTAGCGAAAGAACTTGCAATACATTAAACTGTAAAACTGAGGAAGACATCATAAGCTTCTGGATTTTATTACCAAAATGTACATTTTGATCTAAAATTAAAAATAAAAACAGATTGACTTTCCTTGTAGTATTTCACAACCTTTGAGTGCAGCATTAAAAATGCTTTTCTTTTTTTTCTTCACCAACTATAAGCTTCTGTTTTCTTACCCTGGGCGTCTGAATCTTTTATATGCTTGGGTTCTATTCACTGCCTGTTATTCAGACGTTGAAATCCCAAATGTTAATTGTTCTTCCAAGTACATTGACAAAACAGCAGCTAAATAAGGGTAGACCAGACTGTGGTAGACTCTGACATGCATTTATGGAACAATGGGGCTCTGAGAGACAGCCTTGTAGCTCACGGGAAGACATAAGATGTGCTATTTTGACTGCTTCGTAGCAGAATGGGGAACACACGCACACAAGGGAATTATGCATTTTACTTAGTTTTGCCCAAAGTCCTCAAGGCAACAGAATCTTGTGATGTCATCATGAACTTTCTTTCTCTCCATTTCCATTGACACAAAGGCTAAAAATTTCTAATGACATCACAAAGGAAAATGAAATCTACTTTGATTCCAAAAGAAATCTTTTACCTTCAGTGAGACTAGTAAAAATAAAATAAAATAAAATAAAATAAAATAAAATAAAATAAAATAAAAAAGCAAGAATCTTTCCAGACAGGGTGTGTGTCACTGTGCTCATGCACAGTGGGTGACACCCTCCCTAATGAAATTCAAACCAGCCAAAAGAAAGGATTCACAATTTAGGTTGGATAAAAAAGACATACTGAATATTGAGACCAACAACTTTTTTTTTTTAAGAAGAAAATCATTTAAACATATATTTCTTCAGGGACATTCAAATTTTTACTCATGTCTGGTTACTATGTTACCAATGTTTTTGTCCTTTTTTGGGTTGGTCACAGAAACACAGAAGAAGGTACAGAAAGCTTTGACTTACAGGAATACAGTGCAGCTCAATCTTTTGTTTTTAAGGTGCAGTGATTTCAGTCTCTAAATGTAACTTCAGGCAGTCTGAAAAGAAACAGGTTAAAATCTCTTTCAGTTATAATTGGTATTTCAGATTTAATTAAAAATTAAACTTTCATAATGTTTCACCATCCAAAGCAATGCATTATCAGTCAAGCGTGGCTTTTCTTTTTTTCTTTTTTTTTTTTTTTTCTGTTAAGGAAAAAAAAAAAAAAGAAAAAACCCTCTTCCCAGAGTAGTTTTTTAATGAAAAGAAAAGGATCTAAAGAGGAGAAAAAAAGCAATTCTGAAAAACAAAATACGCCTCCATGTTAAGGACTTCATAATGATATGACTAGAAACTCAATGTTTCTGAATTTTAGCTATATTCTGATTAAAAAAAAACTCCTAAACAATTTCTACAGCCTAAAGATTACAGAAAATATTAAGTTCAGGGAATAAAGAAGAAAATCTATGGGTCTGAATACACATATTAAAGGGAAATTATGACTTCAAATGGAATTGTAAGAAATGCTAGATCTCCTACTTTCCAGTGACTGAATTGCTGGTGAGGTAGATGGTGAAGAAGGGCTAAATAAACATATTTAACAACACAAAATGGCCATTGAAATGTACTGTATTATGGGTTTAGCGTGCCCCATTTCACATCATATTGTACATCTTGTCACATGCAGCCACTGCTGTTTGAAGCAGCACAGGAAGACCAAGAGAGTCTGAACAACACTCCCTGGTTTAAGTAACTGTAAGCATGTTGCTTATTTTTTAAATATGTACTTATAATTCCAAATTAAGTAACAGTCCAGGCATTAAGAGCTCCAAGTATATAATAAATATTAGGCTTAAAATATTATACTATTTTTTGAATCATTTCTTTCTTCAAACAACACCATCTATAAATAATAGTATTTTTTAAATTAAAAAAATCACATCACACACTAGAATTAAATCATCCTTACTTTTAGCTTTGAAAAACTGATACAATGGGATTTAGAAAAATTTAGTTTTTAAAATATAAAATGAGGTAATATAATTCGCTTTCATTCACTTTACAGCGTGGCAGAATACTTTCTATATATTTATAACACTAAATGTCATATGTTTACATCCAATTTCACATTAGTGCAAGGTAATATTTTAATATTTCCCCATATGAGAGCATAATCACAAATCACCCCTTAAATTGTACTATTATTAGAAAGCATATGTAGTTCTTACTTGGGATTCCTGTTTTCTTTTTCTCTTGAAATGTATAGAGGAATATTTTGGGTAATTGGTCTATTTGATGTACATAGATTTTAAGCGTAAACATGCTCAGGTTCACAGTAAATTCACTCATGAATGAGATTAGATTTAAAAAAAATCACTGACATTGACTAACTAAACTTTTCCCCCTCCTCTCACATGCCTGAATTAGGCTAAAAATGAACCAGCGTAAAGGCAGAAATTATGGAGGCGTCACCAGGGACAACTGAATGAGAGGAGGGGAGTGCACATTATTTCCTTATAAGGCAGCAAAATATTCATAAAAGAAACTGACAAAAATAACTTGTGCTCAGAAATTATGAGATATAATATAAATATATTGAATAACAATAATCTCTGAAAAATGATTCAGAAATTTAAAACTGCCCACCTCTGGATAAATCTAATTCACCAACTGGCATTGTTCTACTCACCAACAAAATATGGTTAGCGAAACAAATTCATTCTCTAGTTTAGACGTGAAAAGGTGATAGAAACTAGGCTGAATATTTACATATAAACATATAACTAACAACTAGTAATTCAATTCATTCAGTCAGGTTTCCTTCTCCTCAATTTGCCAGATGTTGAATGAATTGAACTATCAGCTCAAAATAATTAAATCAATTATATGAATAGATGGTCAGTGTACCAATTTTCATTCCCCCCCCATGCCATTTCTCCTTCTCCTCTTTGATCTTTTTCTTCTATTTCTGCTTGTTTCTTCTCCACTTTCACTTTCTTTCTTATTCCTTTTTCCTTCTTTTTTTTTTTTCTCTTGGTGAGGGTAATGAGGCTCAAAAATAACATCTTGTATCCTGTTGAGGGAAACTTGGTCACAACTATCCTTCCAGATGACAAACTCATTCTTAAATGTCTGTTTCCCAATC
This sequence comes from Homo sapiens, assembly GCF_000001405.40. Lineage (NCBI taxonomy): Eukaryota > Metazoa > Chordata > Mammalia > Primates > Hominidae > Homo > Homo sapiens. The sequence goes on from NC_000003.12 coordinate 114,803,262, forward strand.
CAAAGAAAACAGAGCAATTGAAAAAATAGAGACTCAACATCACTTACAACTACCAACACCAGCCCTCTTAATTCCCATGCTGTACTACTCATCACGAGGAGAACTGAAATTTATTTACATTATACCTAACCTCAAATAGGACCACAAATAAGACTAATAACAGGACCATTTTGTGGCACTCAGGCAAACGGCTGGGCAAAACAGATGGATCTTACTTTGCGCCAGGACTCAAAAAATATAGTCGCCAACTCACTGTTGGCGACTACATATCTTGGCCCAAAGATGGACCTGGAAGTAGGACCAGTTGTCTTTGATATGAATAGTGCTCCTCTTCTTATCTCCTCATGGAACAAATCAGTAACTCTGTCACTATATAGTGGGGTTATCAGGTAGAATTGCTTAAAAGACTGGTCATCAAGGATGTAAAATATTCTGAGGGAATGTCAGGTGAGATGAAGGAACAGAAAGTCAGGACAAATACCTTATTTTTGGCACTTTTGTCTATTTTCAACTTTCTGTTTTTTTTTTTTTTTTTAATTCAAATTCACTACTGTACACTGAACCCACCTTTAAAATAGATTTCAGAGTATGTGTCATCAATAAGAAAACTTGTTTCTCACATTTCAGGTTCCAAAATCTGTTAAAATTTTAAGTCACATAGATCAATCTCAGTCATTATTAAAATTGACCACCAGTGTCAGACTTCTTTAATTGGAAGAAAACTATGTAAGGCTTTATAGATTACAGTCAACATCCAATGATGCACTGAGCAACAGCTCCGTAATCAATGCAATATACAAAATCCGGAAGAATGCTTCTCTGGCAGAGACCCTTTAGCAAAAGAGTTGTACATTCTGCACTCCTTAAAGATTCTGAATGGCTTTCCAGAGAAGTAGCAAATGCATTATATTGCAGTAACCTATCTTGTAAGTCACAAGGCCACAAACAAAGCCTCTAGTCAATAAAAAAACAAAACAAAACAAAACCTGAAGGGGGGTGAGAACTACAGATCTTACCATTGACTACGAACAAAGGGCTGCTTCTGACCACATTCTACTTTCTAAAATCCTCACACAGAAGGAGTTTTAGATATCACCAGGTCACAGAACTTCAAGGAAAGAACAACAAAGCATTCCAGCTTAGGAGGTCTATGTTAATTCAGGCACTTCTCTTATTGCTCTTCCAACTATTCAGTACTGACTGTATCTTGCTCAGATTGCTTTTGAGAGTTCACTCATCTCTCTATAATTTATTTATTCAGACATTGTGCAGATTTGATTTTTAAGAGACAGCCCTGTTTGTGGTCAGCATAGAAGGCTAATTATAATACTTTAATTATTTATTTTAGTATTTTTTTCTTTCCACTATTTAAAAACTTTTTATTATAAAATATTTCAAATATATGAGAGAGGGCAGAATACAGAAAAATGAACTCTCCAGTACCCATCACCCATAGTCAATTGTTTTTCCAATTATACTTTCACCTACTTTTTCTTCCACCAGAGCATCTGAAAGACAATCCCAGATAGCTTATTATTTTATGCATGAATACTTTACTATGTGTTACTGAAAGATGACAATCATAACTAATATCATTCCACATCAAAAATAATAGTAATTCTTTAATGTCATTAAATATCCTGTCCATGTTAAATGATTGACTTTTAAATGGTCTTTTCTTTTTATAACTGGTTAGTTTGAATCAGGATCTAAATAAGATGTACACATTATATTCAAACGATAATTATCCTTTAATCTATAAATTCTCCATTTGCTTTTTAAAATTTTAACTTTGTATTTTGGAACAATTTTAGAATTATGGAAAAGTTGCAATGATAGTACAGAGAGTACCCATATTTCCTTCACTAGTTTTTCCTAATGTTACTATCTTACATAACCATGGTAAATTTGACAAAATTAAGAAATTAATATTGACACAATACTATTAACTAAACTACAGACTTTATTCAGATGTCACCAATTTTTCCATTAATATGTTTTTTCTGTTCCAAAAATCCAATCCAGGATACCATACTGCATTTTAATTGCCATGTCTCCTCAGTCTCTTCTGATCTGTGATAACTTCTTGGTCATTCCATGTTTTTCATGACTGATAATTGTGAAGACTAGTGGTCAGATATTTTGTGAAACCTTTTACAACTTTGATTTGTCCAATCCCGTAACTAGATTCGGATTATAGGTTTTAGAGAAGAATACAAAAGAGGTGATGTGCCCTTCTTATAACATCAAAGGTATATGATATCTCGGGGTATGTTAACCTTGGTCGCTTGCTTAGGAGAATGTCTGCCAGGTTTCTCTATACTTAGTTTTAATAAACATAACAGTTTATTGAGATATAACTTATATAACATACAATCCACTCTTGTTATGTGTATAACTCAATGACATTAAGTAAATTTAGAGTTGTATAACCATCACCTCAATTCATTTTTAGAATATTTTTGTCACCCTACAAAGATCCTTCATACCCTTAGGGAGTCAATCCCTAGACCCAGACAACAAATATTTTCTCTCTCTATAAATTTGCCCTTTTTGGATATTTTTATTAATGCAATCAAATAATATGTGATCTCTTTCATGTAGCTTTTTCACTTATCATAATTCATTTTTAAGATTCTTTTATGTTGTGGCATGTAGCAGTAGTCTATTCCCTTTTACTGATGAATACTATTCCACTGCATGGATATAACACCACATTTTATTTATCCATGCATCAGCCAATGGACATCTGAATTGTTTCCAGTTTTTTACTGTTACGAATAATGCTGCCATGAACATTCACATAAAATACGTCTCTGTGTGGACATATTTTTTTTCCTCTTAGATACCTCAAAGTGGTATTGCTGGATCATAAGGGTAAGTTTATTTTAACTTTTAAGAAACTTCCAAACCACTTTCCAAAGTGACTATACTCTTACATCTCCCCTGGTAATATAGGAGGCTTCTAATTTGTCTTTATCTTCCAACACTTGTTACTATCTGTCTTTATTACAGCCATTCTAGCGGGTGTGAAGTAGTCTTTTACGGTTTTAATTTACTTTTCCCTGGAAATAATAATGTTGACCATGTTTTCAAGTGCTTATTAGGCATGACTTCATCTTCTTTGGTGAATAACTTCGGTGAATTGTCAAATATTTTGCCCAGTTTTTAGCTGGGTTGCTTGTCTTTTTATTATTGAAGAATTCTTTATATATTATGCGTAAAAATTCTTATCAGATTATGATTTGCAAATCGCAATCTTGCAAATATTTTCGCCTGTCTTTGGTTTGTCATTTCATTTCTTTAATGGGTCTTTTGAAGTGCAAAAGTTTTAAATTTTGTTGACATCCTAATTACCAAGGATTTTATTGAATCAAGCTTTTGGTGTGATAGCTAAGAACTTTTTCTAACCCAAAGTCATGAAGATTTTCTCCTGTTTTCTTCTAGAAATTTTATAATTTTAGCTCTCACATTTAGGCCCATGATTAAATTTTTGTGCAGGATATGAAATAAGAACTAAAATATGTTTTTTACAGTCCTAGGTTCGTGAATATTCATTTATATCGCATATAATCCTAGCATCAATTACAGAGCACTGCTTATTGAAAAGACTATCCCTTCCCATGACAAATTGCCTTGGCACCTTTGTCAAATTTAATTGATCAAAAATATGATGAATTTTCTGAACTTTCAATTCCATTCCATTGATCTGTATGCCAATATCATACTCTATAAAGTAAGTTTTAAAACCAGAAATTGTACGTTATCTAATTTTGTTTTCCTTTTTCAAAAGTATTTTCACTATTTTGGATCTTTTGCATATTCGTGTAAATTTTAGGATTAGCTTGTCAATTTCTGTAAAAACGCCTTTATTCTTTTTGACAGGATTGTGAATTGAACTGTTTTCTTAATTTCATTGTTTGTTGCTAGTATACAGAAATATAATTGATTTCTGTACAATATCTCTTCTTATATTCAGTTAACTTGTTGAATTCCTTTATTAGTTCGTGTGTGTGGTGGGGGAGGTGTATGTACATTGCTTAGAATTTTCTATGTACAAGATTATATTGCCGGCAAATAAATAGTTTTACTTTTTAATTTCCAATCTGTATGCCACTGATTGTTTCTTTCTGCTGGTCTGTCTAACCCTTCTCTTTCCCTTCCCCTCCCCCTCCCCTGCAGCTGCTGCTGCTTCTTTTTTTTTTCCTCTAATTTGCTTCTCTCTCTCTTTCTTACATGTATTTATCATTCTGCACTGGATTGAATCTCCTGTACAATGTTGAACAGAAGACATAAGAACTGACAACCTTGCCTCTTTTCCGATCCTAGGAGTGTATCGGTCAGGTTTTCATCATTACATACATTATAAGTTCTTCATAGATGCCCTTTGTCAGGTTACAGAAGTTCTCTTCTATTCCTTTTGTTGAAAGATTATATCACAAATGGATACTGGATTTTCTCAAATGTTTCTGTACATCTATTGAAATGGTCATGTGTTTTCTCTTTTATTCTATTAATATGCTATATTGCATTAATTAATTATTGGATGTTAAGTGAAACTCACATTCCTGGGATAAATCCTCTGTGGTCAGCACTGTATAATGCTTTTCTACTTTGCCACATTTGGTTTGTGAATATTTTGTTGAGTTTTGGTGTCTATATTCATGAGGGAATCTGGTCTGCAGTTTTCTTTCATTGTGATGTCTTTGTCTGGCTTTGCTCTCAGTGTAATATTGTACAAATAATTGAAAGATGACCTTTCTTGCTCTATTTCTAGAAAAGTTTGTGAAATACTGGTATTGGATAGAATTCACCAGTGGAGTCATCTACATCTAGGATTTTCTCCTAACTATAAATTGTATAAATTGTATGTCTTTTTATTACGAGTCTGTTCATATTTTCTATTTCCTCTTGAGTCAGTTTTGGTAATTTGCGCATTTCTAAGATAGTCCATTTTATCCAGCTAATTGCTAACAATTGTCCAGTTGCTAACAATTGTCTAATTGTTAAGCAATGACAATTGAGGTCAACCAATGATCAGTCACAGGTTGTATTTCTAACTATCAAGCAATGAAAAGGATTATGAGGTTATAATATTTGTTCATAGTATAGTATGAGATCAGGAATGAGAGAGAAGGTATCACCACCAACCCCATAGAAATGAGAATGATTATGAGGTTATACTATTTGTTTATAATATAGTATTAACTATAACTATACCTCATAATCCTTTTCATTTCTGTGGGGTTGGTGGTGATACCTTCTCTCTGATTCCTCATTTTGGTAATCTGTCATCTTCTCTCCTTTTTCCTTGATCAGTCTAGCAAAAGAAAAACTAAGTTTTGGTTGATCTTTTCAAAAAACTAAGTTTTGGTTTCATTAATTTTCTCTATTATTTTCATTATCTATTTCATTGATTTCTGTTCTTATCTTTGTTATATCCTTCCTTCTGTTCAAACAGAATTTAGTTTTATGTTTATATCATGTCTATACTTACCTAAATAATGACGTGATGAGGTCCTTTTGTTTAGGTGAATTTTAGATACATTTTTATCATTTCATTTCCACTTAAAGGATTTCCTTCAGTATTTCTGGTAAGGCAGGTCTACTAGCAACAAATTGTCTCAGTCTTTGTTTATTTGGGATATCTTTATTTTATATTTATTTTTGAAGAACAATTTTGCTAAATATAAAATTCCTAAATGACATTTTCCCTTTTTTTCCTTCAGCACACTGAATACGTCATCCCTCTACCTCCTGGCTTTGTTTCTAATGAGAAGTAAGCTGTTAATCGTAGTGTTGTTTTCCTGTATGTAACAGTCTTTTTTTTCTTGTTACTGTCAAAATTTTCTCTTTTTCATTCAAAAGTTTGACTATAATGTGTCTATGTACAGATTTTTTTTGTGTTTATCCAACATGGAGTTTTTGTGCTTCTCAAATGTGTAGATTAATGTTATTCATCACATTTGGGAAGTTTTTGGCTATTATTTCTTCAAATATTTTTGAGCCCTTTCTTTCTTTCCTCCTCTTCTCTACCATTACACATATGTTAGTATGCTTGATGGTCTCTCACAGGTCTCCGAAGCTCTGCTCATTTTTTCATTGTTCTTTTCTCTTCAAATTAGACCATTTCTATTAATTGATCTTCAATCTCATTGTGTCTTTATTCTGCCATCTTAAATATTCTGTTGAGATTCTCTTGCAATTTTTTAATTTCCATTATAATATTTTTTAACTCCAGAATTTTTGTTCCTTTTAAAATAACACTTATGTTTATATTGATACTCTCTATTTAAAGGGTAATTATAGTAATACTTTAATTATTTAACATGATTTCCTATTATTTTGAACATATTTATAATAGTGCTTTCAACTCTTTGTTTGCTAAGTTTAACATCTGCTATCTCCACTTCAACCCAAATATAATTTCTTTTTTTTTCTTCAGACACTTTCTTTTAACCACTTCTTAAATTGGGTATGAGTCACACTCCTGTTTATTACATGTCTCATTTTTTTCTTGAAAATTGACATTTTATATAGCATATTACAGCAACTCTGGCTTCTGACTTTTCCCTGTTGAGGGTTGTTGCTGTTATTGCTGTGTTTGTTTATTTAGGACTTGCCTAACATAACTCTGTGCAGCCTCTCTTCCCCATGCTGTGCCGCTGCTGATGTTTCTGCTCAGTTTGTGTAATTTCCATTTTCGTTTTTGAGCTGGGACTTTCCCCTGTGTTAACACAGTTTAGTGGTCAGCCAACGATCAGTCACAGGTTGTACTTAAACACCTAGGGCCACTATGCTAACGCCTCTAATTGATATATACGTGTGTGTGGGTTGTAGAATGCACTCAAAGTTCAGGCAGTTTACAAGTGTTTTTTTGATTTTTACTTTCCATTTGTTCTCTCTTATCTTCTCTCTGTGTGTCCAAAGCCTTAGGTCTTCCCCAGAGTATGTGTGCAGCCTTTCAGACCTCTAGGAATATGTGGTAGCTTACCAAAGTTCACTATGATAGTATCCTTTTCCAATTCTCCCTGCTAAATTTCTGGCCAATCTGCCAGTTCTTTTCTACTCTGAATTGTAACTTCAGGCTACATATGATGTTTATTCTCCCTGCTTGTTTGCCCCTGAGATTGTCACTGTTTTGACCACACCTAAGGGCATGGGGTTTTTCTATGTTCTGCTCCATCAAATTATCGAATCACCCCCTTTCAGCAGTGAAGTTGTGGGTTTTCATGACTTGTCCTGCCCTGGCAGAACTACTGATACAATGGAACTGTGGGGACGGATAATAGGAGGAAGCACTCCCGGCTAAAACACTGTGGGCTCCTAACTGTGCTAGTTGTCCCAACATAACTTTTAATTTGGCCACTTTCACTCCCAAAAGTATCCAGCTTCTGTGATATGATTTATGACCTTTTAATCTATAGTGGGCATAAACGACTTATGCCATATGCCATTTCTTCAGCGAATGACCACTGCCTAATTCTTTTCTTAGTAATGCAGGAATCAGGGGCCTAGCTGCAGGTATCCATGCATGTGGGGTGGCGGGGGGGAAGTCTAACTGCCATTGAATGAACGTTTTCATAATGGTTACATGTGTATAGAAAATCTTCAACTGCCCCTCCTACTACATCTCTAGAAAGTTTAAAGGTTTGGGGGGGATTAAGAATTTCTAGGGAAGTGTATGGGATATAGGGATAAGGTTACCAAAATTCTCCCATGGGAGATAAATAGTTTTGCCTCACTCTATAGAGTTTGGAGAAACCACTCAGCGAGAAGGACTAGAATTACTTTGGTTAATAATGAGTTGCTATGAACTTTGGAGCTGGACTAACCTATTCTAAGCAATTGTAAAGAATATGTCATTTAGACTTAATCTTATACAAAACAATAATAGCTCAGAGATCTAAGCAGGTCCAAATACTTACTTGGATCAGGTTAGTATTTGCCAGCTTATTTTCTCACAGATTCCTGGGCTCACTCAGGTTATACTTCCTTGGGAACACACAAAGGGAATAAGCTCCTTTTGGAACTCAAATAACTTGTAAATCAGAAAGTTCCCATATGGATATAGAGAATAATATTTACTATATAATAATTTTTCCTTTACATGATGATCCACAATAAAGTTCCCTTGAGAATACACTTCCCTAGAGCATTTAAATTATGAACGGATTTACAAAATAACTCCTATCACATGAAAAGAGATAAACATATAGTATCTGCTTCTAGGAATTATCTAAACTCATTTTCCTTCAGAGACTTAAATAGATGAAAAAAATCAGCAAACTTTGTTTAGGAAAAATTCAGAATGTATAAAGCATTAATTGTGAATATCTTACTGATATCTTTGGATCAACATAATACTTCACTTTTACAACATGTTGAGGAAATCAAAGTATTCACCAAACTTCATCTCATTAAAGTGTCATAACCTTTAATCTAGGAACCCGTAATAGTAAAGATTACTGTTTCTGTCTGGAAAACAAGAAATCTAATCCATGAAACAAAATCCTGAAACATCACATACATTGCTTAAAGATGTAAGTCTGAGGATGGAGAATGTGATGGAACTCCGTCACCTTGTTGTATAAGTGTGTCCGGAATTGGTGGGTTCTTGGTCTCACTGACTTCAAGAATGAAGCCGCGGACCCTCCCGGTGAGTGTTACAGTTCTTAAAGGCGGCGTCTCCGCAGTTTGTTCCTTCTGATGTTCGGATGTGTTCGGAGTTTCTGCCTTCTGGTGGGTTTGTGGTCTCGCTGGCTCAGGAGTGAAGCTGCAGACCTTTGCGGTGAGTGTTACAGCTCATAAAGGCAGTGTGGACCCAAAGAGTGAGCAGTAGCAAGATTTATTGCAAAGAGTGAAAGAACAAAGCTTCCACAGTGTGGAAGTGGACCCCAGCCGGTTGCCACTGCTGGCTCCGGCAGCCTGCTTTCATTCTCTTATCTGGCGCCACCCACATCCTGCTGATTGGTAGAGCTGAGTGGTCTGTTTTGACAGGGTGCTGATTGGTGCGTTTACAATCCCTGAGCTAGACACAAAGGTTCTCCACATCCCCACCAGATTAGCTGGATACAGAGTGTCCACACAAAGGTTCTCCAAGTCCCCACCAGAGTAGCTAGATACAGAGTGTCGACTGGTGCATTCACAAACCCTGAGCTAGACACAGGGTGCTGATTGGTGTGTTTACAAACCTTGAGCTAGATACAGAGTGCCGATTGGTGTATTTACAATCCCTGAGCTAGACATAGTTTCTCCAAGTCCCCACCAGAGTAGCCAGATATAGAGTGTCGATTGGTGTACTTACAATCCCTTAGCTAGACATAAAGGCTCTCCACGTCCCCACCAGACTTAGGAGCCCAGCTGGCTTCACCCAGTGGATCCCGCACCCGGGCTGCAGGTGGAGCTGCCTGCCAGTCCGTCGCCGTGGGCCCGCACTCCTCAGCCCTTGGGTGGTCGATGGGACTGGGCGCCGTGGAGCAGAGGGCGGTGCTCCTAGGGGAGGCTCGGGCCGCACAGGAGCCCACGTAGGTCGGGGGAGGCTCAGGCATGGCGGGCTGCAGGTCCCGAGCCCTGCCCCGCGGGAAGGCAGCTAAGGCCCGGCGAGAAATTGAGCACAGCAGCTGCTGGCCCAGGTGCTAAGCCCCTCACTGCCCGGGGCCGGTGGGGCAGGCCGGCCGCTCCGAGTGCGGGGTCCGTCTAGCCCACGCCCACCCGGGACTCGCGCTTGCCCGCAAGCACCGCGCGCAGCCCCGGTTCCCGCCCGCACCTCTCCCTCCACACCTCCTCGCAAGCTGAGGGAGCCGGCTCCGGCCTTGGCCAGCCCAGAAAGGGGCTCTCACAGTGCAGCGGCGGGCCGAAGGGCTCCTAAAGTGCCGCCAAAGTGGGAGCCCAGGCAGAGGAGGCGCCCAGAGCAGCCAGGACTGTGAGGACTGCCAGCACGCTGTCACCTCTTATAAGGTTATCAATAGGGCAATATCCAGGCTACAATGAAAAAGAAACTTGAAGTCTCGAACACCTATTGTGTATACATTAGAGTGGATTCAAAATAAATATTTAAACAGATTTCTGTTCCTGTGGAATGGTATTTTTCCAGCAAACCTCTCCAGCGATTGTTTTTATTAGGCTTTGCAATTTCTATAAAAGGATATCAACCCTGTCCCAACTTCATTACTATTTCTGCTATTAATTAACAATAAAAAAAATAGGCTAGGCATGGTGGCTCACATCTGTAATCCTAGCATTTTGCAAGGCTGAGATGGGTAGATCACTTGAGTCCAGGAGTTTGAGACCAGCCTGGGCAACACAGAAAAATCCTGTCTGTACAGAAAATGCAAAAATTAGCTGCGCATGGTGGCGCATACCTGTAGTCCCAGCTACTTGGGAGGCTGAGGCAGGAGGATAGCTTGAGCCTGGGAGGCGGAGGTTGCAGTGAGTCAAGATGGCACCACTGCACTCCAGCCTGGGTGACAGAGTGAAACCCCATCTCAAATAATAACAATAACAAAAAATAGTTGTATTTCAAGTAATATAATCTAGATAATCTAATATAATATAATCTAGATAATCTAGAATTCACTGTCATTCAATGAATTATATCTGTGTGAAGTGTTCTCTATTTGGTCCAAATCTTTTAAAAATGGGAATACTAAAGTTCACAGTAATAAGATGTTGTCAGTCTACATTGAGGACTACAAAGAAGCATTTCTATAAAATATCCTTTGTTGCTAATGAAAGTTAATATTTATCTTGATATTTACATTATAATACAGTGATCCCTATACATACTGAAGAGCATCCTAGAAAATTGATTTTTCTTAGTATAAGCATTGTATTTCTTTAAAATATATAATCAGAGCCCAATCTGTAAATGTAGGTAAGATCCTTTATAGGATGCTTTTTAAATGTAGGTCAAATTCTTGCCTCCTTCTCATGTTTTTCCACTGTTTACCCATTTTATTTTTTATTTACTTAATTTATATTATATATTTCACTTACTGTCATTTATATTTATATAAATATATTTATACATAAATATATTTATATTGTACATGTATGTATCATTTAAGCTATCTCAATTTCTTTTTGTAACAAAGAGATATCTATCTGTCTCTACTGTATATTTGTCTATCTACCCTTCCATGTAACAATTCATCTAAATTTACTATATGATACCCCAACATTTCAGATGCAATCTGAAAATAGCAACCTTAGATCCTCTATAAACTCATCTATGTTTTTGTGGTGACTTTAGTTTTCTTCTACCTTCGAAGCTATTCAAATCAGAATAGCCTCAAATCTGCCTTAAACTTGTCTGAGACAAAGTAACATATTTGTATCATCAGAGCTCAGTATTAACTTAAAGCTTAACTAACCACCTCTTTGCTAAGTCACCTGAAGATGATTCTTGCCTTTCTGTGCACGAATAAAATAATTTGGGACCTATGGAACAACACCAACCATTTTCAAATAACTAATAAGGCATATAACATAGAGCAGACACAACTGATTATATAGTTTGTACCCTGTCCAAGGCACCTAGTCCAGGAGTGTGTTTCACTCAATAACCCACGTTCCCTAGCCCAAGCTGCATCTGCTTGAGCAAAGGGTTTCTTTTAATAATTTGCACAAAGGTGTCCGAACAGGCAGCTTTTTTCTAAGTTGTATTGAAACTCCATATGAGATAAGAAAGGCCCTCTATAACATGTTTCTATAGTACTTCTAACAGAATATAATTAATTGTATTAATATTAGCTGGCTCTCTAGCTGTTACATGTAACATAAATATTCAGGTAACTTCCTAGTAATGACTAACCTCATGAGCTTAGGTCTCCATGACTTGCACTAAAGAATGCTTTAAAAATAGAATGTTAACAAGTTCGGAGACATGGATTATTTGTACAATAAAATACTTTTCTTTTAAATTTAGCTTCTGGCTCCCATTCCTTCAGGCAGATTTTATATATTAGTAGTTAAGTCTTAATGAATTATCTACAGGTAGGCTATACATAACACATTTTTACATTAACTTTTCGTGACTATGACATGAATACATGCCCATTGCAAAAACAAAATAAAACAGTACACTGAAAATATAGAAAATATGAGGAAAGATTACGAGCATCAATAGTCTGATGACACAGAGACAATAAACCACTACTGGACCTTCAGGATTTCATTCCAACGTGACACATTTTAATCCCAATTTGGCTTACCCATTTTCCCCTGCACACAACGAGTAGCCTCCTATTTTTACTATTTGGTATTGTGCTTAAGCAACGGAAATATTTCAAGTATTTCTATAGCAATTGTTTTCTATAAAATTAATTTAGTAATTGATCAAGTACTATCATATTTAATAGCCCTGCAATTGATCATTATTCATGATACTACTCATTGTTATTGCTTATTACTTCATGAATTTGGTTTTATTCAATCATGTCATATGGAGATTTTATACACACACACAAAACACGCACACGCACACACGACCGGCTACTACATAAATATTAAACCATTTCTCCGAAATAATATGGAGGTTAGAAGTAGCTTCTAGATGAACAAAATGAAATGGCAAATTTGATGCTTAAAAGTCAAAAATTTCATATCAATGCCAAAGATACATTATTTTAGATAACACTCTTTTTCTTTATTTTTATTTTTACTATCTTTGCTACAACACTACAACATTAATATGAAGAACTGAGAGTCAGCTACGCCTATAAAGGTAAAGTGCCATAAAAGCCCCAATGCATCTCTCTCAAGAGTCTAATCTTATTCTATCTGAGGAGCTATCCTCTTTCTGTGAACTCTGTCATGTAGAATTACATCATCTCCCATGGCTCAGATTATCTCCAATTTATAAAATGCTTTAACAAAAACTGTTACAAAGTGGGCTCTGTTATATATTCATATAACTTCCTCTTCACTTTGGTTAATACGGAAATACACAATACATCAATATGTTTCATTAAAACGATTGTTTTGATATAGTAATAAGCTGGGCAAATAGAGGAAGTATGCTGGGTGCAATTTATTTACATTTTAATAAGACCTCAAACAAATGATACCACACAGGAAGCTCAGAATTAGGTTAAGGAGAAATGGTGGCTAAAAAATGCCTTGAAGTTTGGAAGCTGTAAGTATTATCTAATCAATAGTATTACTTTTGAATTAAGATAGAATAACCATTCCACAGGGACAGGTATTGTGGTCTGTGACAAACATTATTCAATGCAGACATTAAAAATTTAGGGGAGATAGAAATTTTCAAAATTTGATAAAATTTTAAGACTAAACCTTAGAATATATGCCAAATGCTAAAGTTTAAAATGAATGGGCCTATGAAATAAAAATCTCATGAAAGCCCAAAGTATGGGAGTTTTCTTCCTTAATATACCAAAGCTTACTGCTAAAATCCCCATTTAATAGAGATGATAACTTCGCCATTCACATTTTGGGTTTCTCCTACTATGCATGTTAACTCTTTGTGAATAGTTCTAAAAATCAAGACAAGTATGTACTTTAATCAAATAGGAGATTCAGAAAGCAATGATTTCAGTCTACAATTATAGTAGCCTGCACTATTCCTATTTCCAAACTCTGAGCAGGTTCACCTTTGTTTGAGACAAATTATCACTGATAATATCTTACAGATTAATGTGCATGACATTTGTCTATCCAGTGTAGTTTCCAAGACAATAAAAAAAATTGCAGAAGTAAATATATTATTTAAGCTGCAAGTGAAGAAACAATTATAAAAGTACAATAATGATAGGAAAAGCATGAAGAGGACAGGGTGAGGTAAATATACAAAAGGAATCTTGTAAGAACTGACACATTTGCTAAAAGAACAAGAATATGACTCCGTGTGTGTGTGTATAAATCTCTCTCTATATTAAGTCTATATGAAATATATTTATACAACTTATACACACACACACACACACACACACACACACACACACACATAATAAATTGGGCGTGGTGGCTTACGCCTGTAATCCCAGCACTTTGGGAGGCTGAGGTGGGTGGATCACCTGAGGTCAGGAGTTTAAGACCAGCCTGACCAACATGGAGAAACCCCGTCTCTACTAAAAATACAAAATTAGCCAGGCATGGTGGCACATGCCTGTAATCCGAGCTACTCAGGAAGCTGAGGCAGGAGAATCACTTGAACCTGGGAGGCGGAGGTTGCGGTGAGCTGAGATCACACTATTGCACTATAGCCTGGGCAAAAAGAGAGAAACTCTGTCTCAAAAATAAATAAATAAATAAATAAATAAATAAATAAATAAATAAATATCTCTCTATATATACACACATGCAGAGGCATACATATATGCCTCTATAAAAATAAATATTTCATTAGGAGTTTTGCAATTTCCTTATTTGTATCTATCCATGAACTAGAAAGTAAGTTCCTTGAAAGTATGACTTATGTTTTCTGTGTTGTAATTCATAATAACTAGCATGATACTGAGCAGAAAATTGGTTCTCAATAAATATTTGTGTGAAATACAAAAAATCTAATTTCATTCATGCACACTATGTAAAAGAACAAAATTAAAGAATTCCCAAAAATAAGACAAATGATACCATTACATGGGGAAAGCAAGTTAGATTATGCTACACTACACTAAGCCAATAAAATTAATACCAAAAAAACCCTTCAAGTGAAAATAAATCTATGTAAATACATGCTGAAATCCTCAGATGATTCAGACTCCAGAGAAATGAAACCCCAATGACAGCATCATGAAAATGAGTTGCCCCAATATCACATATCGTTTTTGTCATACTCTACAAGAAGTGGTCAGGTGTGATTAGAAATTCCAATTTCCTAATCTTACAGAATATAAACAATCTATATTACATAAGTCTATGAATTTTCTGAGGCATTATAAACTTTTATGGACATTTTTTATTAGAATCTGAACACAATGGTGTTTCAATATAAAAACTCATAATTTCAATTGTGAATCACCATTTTACATTTAAACAATTTTAAAAATTCACATTGTGACATGTTATACCATTAGGTTATTAAAAAAACTCTGAAAGTTTTCTTAATAAGATCATAAAGTTTTTTCTAGTTATGCAAGAGCAATTTGATAGTGGAAAATCAATTATGCTAAGTCCTTTGCTGAACTGTCACATTTCAAATTATCCTATAATGTTTTAAAGGGAAAGGGCTATGCATCTTAATCCCAATGTCTAGTGAACAATTTCTGGCATATAGTAAGTGCTAAATAAAATGTATGATGAATTAATTTGAGTTGAAAAATACATCTCAAGAAAAGTCTATGTCCATGAGTTACAATTGGACAATATTTACCAGAAAAAAAAGATTAATAAAAGTCAACGTCCATTCCTAATAATCAAATAAGGATTCAGAAAATAGTATGTTAATCCACTTTACCAATATATCAAATAATATCTGTCTTAAATCAACAACCAATATCTGCCTTAAATATGAAAAAAAACTAGAGATAATACCACATAATAAAAAACAAGAAATATGCCCTCTACCACAACGATTACTTAACTGTTTTGGAAATTATAGTCAATGAAATAGGATATTAAACAGGAATAAGAAAGGAAATAGACAGTCATCTTTGTTAGGAGATAATTTAATAACTTTGAAACCCCAAAAGAACTTAAAAGAAATTATTAAAACTATTAAGAGAGTTGAATAAAATAACTAGATAATAAATACAGATAGTCCCCAACTTACAGTGGTTCAGCTTAAGATTTTCCAGTTTTACAGTGGGTTTATCAGAATGGAACCCCACATAAGTTGAGGATCATGTGGATTATAAATAGGAAGTGGCTTTTCTACCAAAGAATTATAAATGAAATATAGGCAATTAAGGACACTAACAAGAACATAGCATGCCTATACCTAAATATATGAAGGAATTTGGGGATCTATATGAATAAAAAGATACAATCTATTTATGTATGAAAACATACTATGCTTCTGAATGGGAAGACTGAATATTGCAAAGATACTAATACTGATTTATAGGTTTAATACAATTCCAACAAATATTCCAATGAAACATTTTTATGAACTCAACAAACTAAACAAATCCTGACTAGTAAGTAGGTGACAAAAGCCAAAGCATTTTTGAAAAAAGAAAGATAAGGAAGGATTTTACCTAAAAGATACACAAACTTATTTTGAAGCTCTAATGGAAGCAATATAGAACCGGTGAAAGAACTGAAAAAGCAGATAGTCCAGAAATAGATCCTAATGTTGATAAAAATTAGTAGGCAATCAAGATGATGTCAAAATCAGTGGGGAAATGATTCTGGAACAATTGATTAACCATTAAGAACAAAAGTAAGTAAGATGTTTACATCATAACATGCTAAAATAAATTCTGGGAGAAACACAATTAAAAATATAAAACAGAACCATGATCATACTAGAAAAAATGGTGAATATTTACTAAATTTCAAGCTATTTAAAAAAGAAGATAAAAGTAATGAACATAGTCACAGAGAAAAAAATACACAAGAAATTGACCATACAAATATTTAACATTTTCTCACATAAAATCTTACAAATCAGTAAAACTACATGAGTAAAGACCACAAGCAAACAATTTATAAAAATAAGAAAACAATGACAAACATGTAAAAAACATTCTAGTTCCTTATTAAATCACTGCAAATTAAAACTATGTAAACTAGTTATTTTGCCTGCAATTTGTCATATATTTATATAATGCTGCTATTCAAAACAGTTAAGAATGTAGTTAGAAAAGCACTTTTACATACAATTGGAGAAGAATTCTCAAAGGAACCTTGAGAATTTTACATCCTCTAGCCCAGAAATCAACTTTCTAAGGATGTATGCTAAAAACATAATCCAAGATGCAGATAAAAATTTATATATAAAAATGATCCTCAGAGTAGGAGAAATAATAGTGGAAAATGACCTAAATGTCAAACATGAAGGAGTTAATTAAAATTTTTTGGTACATAATTAAGATATAATATTACACAGCTAATGAAAATGAGTATTTTATGACTCAGAATTAATAAAATTAATGCTAAGTGAAGAGATCACTATACAGACTATACAATCCAAAATGTTGTTTAGAAATATGCAAACAAACACATATATATAAACACCTGTACACTTTAGAAACACCCATACACTTGGAAAGAGGCAGAGCAAATACTTAGAATTGTTTATCCATGATTGGTGGTGTCAAGTGATTTAAATTTATTCGTTATATATATTTTCTATTTTGACACATCCTTTCAACAAGTGTACATTACCTTTTAATCTGGAAAAAAAAGTTATTTTAAGCCTAAAATGAATTTATGTGGGTTAGAAATTCACTTAAGGGAAAAAAATCAGATACCGATAAAAATCACTTTCATATACATGTAGAATTACTGTGCTCTTTAATCTGTGAATCTCCATACTTTTGTGCATAAAGAACATCTATTGAGATATTGAGATACTTGACTTTTTTTTAGTGCTGAAGAACACAATAATTTTCCTGAATTAAAACCCAAAGAAAATAAAGTCACTCATAAATACCATATTTGACTACAGCATTCACCCAATGCTCTGATGGCCTTTCCCGTTGTTGACTTATTGATAAAATTTACCTACATTGCTAATATTAATAATTGTTTTGGTACCAATTTCAGGAATAATCAATCTGAGAATGTTTACTTGGCCCATTTAGACAATACCAAGGAAAACACCCCCAAGTAACTGTAACCAGCATAGTGAACAGTGTATTTGCGTTTTCACATTTCTTTTCCATGGAATACCAACCTTGCCTAGTATTTTGCGAATAACAATGGATGGAACTTGGATTTTCAACAGTGCTTAAAAAATAGCTGCCAAAGTCAAGACATGTAATAACCTTCTAAGTAAGTTTGCTGGCTCCATATTGTGTTTGAAGGCACACCCCCTCCAAACGTCTGCAGTCACCATCTGCTACTCAACTGCAGAATAATGCACTGAAGTCTGGTGTTGTTTGGCATGGGCAAAGACAGCCAATGTCCAACTCCATTCAGACATGTGCACCATATCAGGAACCTTATGACACAGTCCTCAACATCAATGCAGCACTTTCAAGCCCTGCTGCACATCAATCAAGTATGTATGACAGTCAAGCTGATAGATAAAATCTAAGCCAACTCTAAATACCTACTGTGCATGGATCTCTCTAGTTTGCCTGCAGCTCACCTTCTATTAAGATGATAGCTTTGGCCTAGTCTTCCATGCCAAAATAAGTGCATGGAGTCACTCTGGCAAGAAGAAGCGTCTACATCAATGTCAACAAACAAGTTCCTTGCGCCCGACCCTACCATCTGTCCTCCTGCTTCCCACCTACCGTACTTTATGTGGACCTTGATGAATGAGATTCTAATAGTCCAAGACTCTAGTTTAGCCAGCCTTTGCAGATGGGGTCAACATGACTGCCCTCTGGCCAAATACCCAGGGTGACATAGCTGATGGGTTACCTGGAAAGTGCCTTTTTGCAAATTTAATGTCAGAAATAAAGCAAATGAAGGCGTTCCTACAGGTTCTGAGTTTCGGGTTTATGGAAAAAAGTGATGCATTCAATGCTTAAAGTGAAGATAATTTTTCTTTTAAATTATTTGAAAATCTTATAATGCTAAAGCATTGATAAATTCCATTTCAACACTACGGGTAAGGGAAATAAAATGAATGAATAAAAGTAAAACTGGGGCTATTCTAATGTATTTACAAAGTAGGTTTGAGAGAAAGACTTGAAAAAAATCTCAGAAATATGTAGAAATAAGACTTGATAGTGTAACATTAATATAGAAGCAGATTATTTCATTCTGCGTTAGATGCAACAATATTAGAGCATATTGCACATGCTAAATGGGGAATAATAGATTTCATACCTATTCTACAGAAGTTGTATGGCACTTGCAGATTTCAAGGTAGAGCAGTAAAATTTAATATAATCTTAAGTATGAGATATAAATAGTTTCTGGAAAAATCTAATTGTTTTTGCCTTAAAAAGATATTACATGAAATATGATAAATCAGTATTGTCATAAAAGTAGTAAATAAAATTATTTTGTTTTTTGAACATGTTGACAAACCATTTCAATTAGGTCATTAAAAAAACACTTAAAATGGAGCCTGAGGGCATATGAAACAAACAGAAATTTCAGGAAATGCCGCTAGTTCCAATCCAACTCAATTTAATAGGATGATACAATGATAAGACCTTATTTTTCCTTCAAGGAAAGCTAAATGTATTTCTAGAATGGTCTCTGGACACATCAAAAATAGAACAAGCAAAAACAAAACAAACATTCTACCTAGGAAACAACATCATCTGAAACTCTAGACAATTTAAGTAATAATAAGAAAGTGAATCTTCACCAAATGAGAAAATGAATGTGAAAATATGTTACATACTATAAAGCACCATACACAGAATTATTCAGAGCATCTATTAAAGTGCTTTGTACATAGTAAGCATTTACTAAATGTTTGTAGAATTGACTAGAATTTAATTGAAAAGAGAAGTATAATGAGACTTCTACAAGTAGAATCAGATCCTTTTAATACCATGGGAAAAAGTTTCAGTCAAATTATATGACTAGGTACATCCGTTGTCTTTGATGTTATGAATCAAGATGAGATCCTATTATATCAAAAGAAAAAATATTGTTGAATTTCTCTTTGGAGAAATCACAGTAAAATGAAAAGGATGATTATTTTTAATTTCTAAATATCTCCAAATTTTATAGCATTCTTCGGTCAACTAAGATAATGCTATAGAAATCCTACATAAAACTTGAACTTACAATGTCCTGGCCTAATCATCTGGCTAATCTCTTTGAGTTTTCCTGAAATATGTTCACATCCCATTTTCTATGGGAATTCTCCCACTGATTAACACAGAGAATGAGAATTTGGCCTGTGCTCTATAGGCACCATTGAAATGTGGCCACCTGAGGCATGTAGGGAGGGCATCCAGCTGGCACACCACATGTTGCCCTGGAGTAGTGTACAATGAGAGGGATATTTTGGCTAAGAATACCTGGATGATCTCTATAAAGGTCCTGATTATGAAAAGGACTTCAGCATTATCATTGTCTCATGGGCATAATATGAGCCAGGGAAACTTCTGTTTCTAAGTTCATATATTTTCCAAAGAAAGGACTTATAAGAATATAAGAAAAAATCAAAGAACTCTATGAAAGAGAAACACTGGGCCATTGATACTAGATTTTATGTACTATCCATATCACTAGAAGAAACTTTTTTGAGAGCTCCATGCATTTTAAAACTTATGCTAAAGCACACTATAGACTTGACCATCAAATAAAACATAATGAAATCTGTAAAATAAAGGATGCAAAAACATAGCGTGAAAATTTATGCCTGCAGTGCAGTTGTTGTACTATATTTTATAAAAATCAATTAAGTTCACATACTACTCACTTAAGAAATATCTGCTGATTTTATTTTTATTTTACGCAACTTGTGAGGAAGAAAATCCATGCATTTGAACTGTAGTGCCAATAAAACAATTTTGTCAATTTTGAGTCTATTTTTTTCAAAACACCATACGTGATTAAAACACATAATGCACTAGTATTTTTGCCAAATTTTGTTTTTAAACCAAAGCTGTTTTTGAATTACATAAGCACAAAATCAGAATTTCAAAACCAGCAAACATATTTAGGGGTGAATTTTAAAATAAGCCCACTTGATTCATTGTTAGACAAACTTTGAGTGCCAGGGACATTTTTGTGAAATTCCACTGGGGTAAATAGGGTAGCTAGGAAACGCTCCTCAAAGTGAAAAATAAGTATATGCATTATTTTCAATAAGTTTTGTTTAGCATTTTCACCCTCATACTAAGTGGTTCTGGTGATATTTACAATACAACATGAGCATAAATCTTAAGGAATTTATGATGTCATCAAATGCTAAGAGACAATTACAGCTGGGTTTTACATTTGTGTTTATATGTTATTTTGCATATAGATCCCAAAAACCAATGAAGAGAAACTTTGATACAAAACATATCCTGAAACTAAAAGACAGCTTCTATCTATCAATATAACCAGTTGATAGTATTTCTAAGACAGAGTTTGACAGTAAGTGAAACAAACAAACATAATGTTTTAAATATGCCACTTCAGCCACTCCAGCTGTCACTCAAGAGGCTTTTTTTAATATCATTAATTCAATGCCACACAAACAGGAATTCGGTCTTTCCAATAAATTTTGGTGACAACTTGTTGGCAGAAAGGAAACTAATATATATGTGGAAACTTTTATTTTGTCATCATGTATGTTTGTTTGAACTTGCTTAAAATATTGTAATTGTGGGCCTAATTTACACCTTTTTTCCTAAAAGCTCAAACAAATCACAATGATCACAGTGTCCCTAAGACTAATGAGTCCCAATTTATACCACAGAAAATAGAAGCTCAGAGAGCTAAAGAGTACTGGCAGAATATTATACTGCAAGAATAGCAATATAGCAAGTATACTCACTTGAAATCCTAATAAAACCATAAAAACTACCACTTTGTATTTTTCATTAGCTTATATTTTTACTTAATGCAAAATATTTTGCAGAAAAGTTTTCTAGCTAGCTTTATTGCTAGTAAGAGAATAACTTTTATTAATTGAATTAATTTTTGTAATTTGTGACCAATGAGGTTTGACTCACATCGCACATTTTCTTTAGGAACTCAGATACTTCATAGATCTTAATACCCTGATGAAAATTTAAGTCCTAAAAGGCCAGGAAATACTGAGATTCAAGTTGGCTCCTCTACCATCTTTACTGACAGAAATTCAGAGTGCCAAAAGTCAGCACTGCTGGTTGCTGATCATCATATCTAAACATTGATTCTTCTAATTGTGTATTTTGAGACTTGCTTGATTTTAGAATTACAGGTGGAAAGTCACTTCTCTTTGATATAAATTGCATGCAATAAAGAAGGAGGCAGTCCTACACAATAAATATGTAAGGAATGGTTTTCCACCTCTGCATGCTGCAGAAAATCCCACTGAGTTAAGTAGGGTTCTACCAAGGCCACTTAAACATATTAGCCTATTATGCTCCACATTTCTTTATTGTTCTCAAAAAGCTAATGAAATGTTCCAGTGTAATGTTAATGCTGGAGTACTTTTAAAGGCATTTTAGAAGTGATGTTTCTCTCATAACTCCAGAAGGGGGTTCCACTTCCTAAAAACATTTAGGAGGCCATGGGGAGACCATGCAGCCTCTTTACTCAGACTGTTTAGACTCATAGCTGGAGAAGAAAATCCTTAAAGATAATCACTTAAGAGTTTCGGTGTGAGCTATAGCATCATCGCAAAGCGACAGGAATTAAAAGGCAGTGTACCGTACTACTGAATAGATAGGTTTAAAATACTGTGTACTGTCTATTCACAGATAACATTGATTTACGTTGGTAAATCTATTGGTTCAGCACATCAGTGCAGTATTAAGGAATCAATTGTTTCTCCAGAGTCAATTATTTTTAGAAAAATAAGGAAATGTGACCTATCACTGAAAGTCAGTATGTAGAATTAAACTTGGCCAGTTTTCTTCCTCGCTGGGGTCTTAATTTTTTCAACTGTAAGATAAATGAATCAGACTTGTCAGTATCTATGATCACTTCTAGCATTAAAGTTTTCTAGTTTTAAGATTCTAAATACCAACACTGTATGTTGAGGAATAGCAAAGTAGGAAAAGAACTGGGAATAAAACTATCACTGAATTATTAACTTTCCAACAATCAAAATTCTGTAATTTTGCCTTTAGTTGCCATAAACAACCACCTCACCTTCTGAATATCAACAATAATATGAATGAAGGAAAGGTTGTATACTAAGGTCACAGGTGGTATGGTTGAGATTAAAGCCAAGACTGAGAGTATAGTAATGAATTGAGAAATGAATCATACACTTTTGACCTAATATGTAATATGTCTTCCCAAATCGTCATTTTTATACATTCATTTTCAATGGAAAACAACAACTTGAATATCTTAGAGGTTTTTTCCCCCAAGAAAGACATCAGGCTGTAATCTCCCCCCACAAAATTTAATACAGTTCATAGCTCATACCCCTACCGGATAATCCCCAAAATGTCTTGTTCCTTTTTCAAATTAGACATCAGCATTCAGTATAACAATTAATCAATGCCAACAATGTTCCATATGCTTTATTAGCATTCATTCACCGAATCCTTCCATGAACACTAGGAAGTAGGTACTAATAAAAACAGAAACAATTTTGAAGTACAGAATCTCAGAGGTGGTTATCAGTAATTCTAGAATATCAGTCTGACATATGGGTCCCTCCACTTTTTTTCAGTGCACAACGTGAACACTGTGTGGCACAGTGTTTCAAGAATTAATGTTTGATTTATATCAAAGCATTATGTTTTTTACTTCATCTTAATAGTAATCACAAGAGTGACTTAAGCCTCCTACATGAAAGCAGAGATAGAAAAAAGATGACCTTGGAAGTTACATATTTTCTTTTCCTGTAAGTATGAAGACATGTCTATAAGTTATTAGAACCATAAAAAACCAAAAAACTAATAAGAATAAAATTGTGAAAGAATATTGAAACCTCCTTAATAAGCAGGTTCTTGTAGGATATTGAACAAGGTATGTATGTTGTAGCCCTGATGCTATATTTGTGTCATGCTGAGCAAGCTACTTAACATTTAGGTGCGTAAGGGTTTTTTTCCCTAAAGTGGGAGGATTTAGATCTCTAAATTCCTTACCAATCATAATTTTAGAGCAAATTATCTATAAAGTCAATTAATAATTTGCCTTGCTTCATGTATTACATAATAGTTGCTAATCAAAATGAATAGTATTATACTCACAGCTTTAACTAACTTATAGCTAAGATCAGGCTTGCTTTGTAAACATCTCTCTAAAAACTCAGAAGTCCATGAATACTAAGACTTTTTACTCCTCCTGTAATTTTTGACCTCTACTGGAAATCTCACCTGCTACCCCTGACCTCGAATATTGCAAGTATTAATACAGTTTCTGTATATAGTGTACTTAAGCCAAAAGTCAGAGGCATGAGAAAGGTAAAGGCCGGGACAAAGGTACTACAATTCAGCTACACACTTGTAATGCTTCCCATTAGTTCGTTAGTTATATTAGTTCCAGAAACTATTTTAACACGGTAGGCTGATACTGCAAGCAAAAACAAAAATCATGAGAACAATGAAATAGTAGGTCTTAGCGCTTAAGCATATCTACTAGTAGTAATACTTGACAAGCAGCCCACCTTCTTTGTGATCTGGAAATGATTTGATGATAAAGCCAAATTCTAGAAATATAACTGCTATCTTTTGGGAGATCAAAGGTCATGTGAGGGGGAGAGCTAAGGTCAAGAGCAAGCCCCTTAAGCCTACTCCAGAAATTTCACTAGAGGGTGCTCTTGGGCTTTCATGACTTCTCAGTTCTTCAATAAGAACCAAGTATTGCTTAGATAATATATTCTGCCTAGTATAACTTGGACTCCATCATGGATCCCATATCCAATACTTCAATATAGAATTAAAAGATATCTCCAGCAGACCCTGGGCCTGGTTTTTTATTTTCCTGTGTAATTTCCTTGTTTCTACTGATAGTACACTTGTGAGTTTCACAAATTTAAGACAGGTAAGAGATCTTAAGAGGTCTCCAAAAGTCTACATTCTATTAAACAACCACAGAAACTTCCTAATACATCAAAGTAAGATTAAATGGGGATTAACTGATAAATCTATTTTTGCAAATATATGTTTTACAAACATATTTTAATCTTATAATAGGTTCATAATTTATATACCTATTGGAAGAATTATTATTCCATAAGATCTGTAGAGAAAGTCTGATTGTCAAATAGAATAAATTTCAATTATTTATATATGTATTATTCATATGTCTCATGACATCAAATATTGAGCACCAAGTAAGTACTGAATAAATATTTCTTGACCCTTTATTGCACATACATATTTTTATAACACGTTCCAACAGGATGACATATAATTAAATTTTAATCTCTACACCATATGTTTGAAATTTTTTCTATAAATGCAGTTTCACCTTTCTGGAATTCACGTTTAATGACTTATTCTGTTTATTTCTAATGATAATCGCTTTTTATATACTTTCCATTTTTGCTACGTTTTTAAGAGAAAATGAAACATGGAAATTGTTTTGTTATGTGATTAACTTTTTAATGTTTCTATTTGTTTATTAGAAGATTAAGAAGGTTATTTATTTCTACATTAAAATATTGGCAATGGCATATATCAATGCATAGTGATTTTCTTAAGAATTGCAATGAGTGACTCAGTAAAATTCTTCTTCACTTTCAGGATGTAAAGAATTATGGCTACTAGCCATTATGCAGGGTGATGTTCTTATCACACATAATTGAAAACTCAATAGTTTTAGCATCTTTAGGGTTGACAGTAAAATTCTGAGGTTGACTATGGAATGCTAAGTCTTTGAAGGCACTTCCAATTTGGCTAAACTTACAGTTTCATTATTCCTTAATTGAATTAAGTTTAAGTTTCTCTTAAAATCAGCTTGAGGCTTTTGACAAATTAGAAATTTGGGTCCTGAATAGTAGCCCTTTACAATATATGAATCTGCATAAAGATGTGTTTTAAATGCCTATTTGATAAAAAGATAAGCCTGGTCACTTATGGATTCTAGCTCCTTTCAACATCCTGCATGGATTGCAACCAGTGTGAAAAATTGGGGATCTTTAAAGTGGTCTCAGATCTCTTATAAAGCAGTCACCTGGGCTCTTAAACTGTATGGTGCTTCTCAAAAAGGGCTCCTTAAGTATCCTATCTGATGTATGTTATTCCCCAATTCAACTTGCAAAGGACAGAGTCACCAGCATATATTCAAACTGTATTTCATCCAAGTGGGTTGTCAATAAGCTTAAATCACTCTATGAAGAACTGGCAAAATTCCCATGGATACTGTGAAAATAAAGGGAATCAATGAAGAGATATAATTATTTTAGTCTCAGATTTAATTAATTTGTGGGAGAGGTCATTTTCTCTCAAATATATTCAAGTTTCTTCAAACACAGGTCAATGTTTGCCAGCTGATAGGAAAAAAGAAAACATTTAGTCTGAGTTTCCCACGTTTATATTAATCTCTGTATCACAGCTAAATAAAATGTTTCATAAATCTTCATATAGGCAAAAGAGAGTTCAAGCTAAGGCAGAGTAACAAGTATTGCCAATAGAAAATAACCTCTTAAGTACTGTTTCTACTATTTCCTGTTCTAATTTTTCTATTGGAGAGAATGAAACAAAGTAATTTCACACCTGGTTTTATGAATCAGCTCACTAAAGATTCTAGGTAGAAGTTACACGGGAGATGCAAGTATAACTTCATTATTTTACAATTAGAACACTAAGACAAAGAAAGAATAAAAGTGGCGTGCTATCCCATGCCATGCAGTTAGCATATGGCAGGTCTTACTCAGAGTCCCCAGTTCCTAATCTAGTGTTCTTTCTACTGCAAAGGTTTCCAGTGCTGCTTGGTTTTTCATAAAGGATCTGTATATCATGTCAAAATTTCATGTTGACTTTCCTTGAAATTTCAGAGAAAAAGAAGGCAGTATAAGAAAAATTACTCTTCATTGTCTAACTCTTCAAGTCAGACAGCATTCCTATGTGCAATGATCCTCGATACAGTCTAGGTCAACTGATCTCTATGAGTTTTCATACTCATTAAAATGTATGCATCACAAAGTACAATTAATGTTCTCACTGACTTTAGGGACCTTGCATGTTTCATCCGTTCCCTAACCTATGCCATCCTGAATCCAAGAGGCACCCTGTATTTCTCTGAAAGTCAGCCCAGCATGAAAATACTGAAATAAGAGTGCAGGTGTACTCTTTGCTTTAAGAAGACACAATAAGCCAAATTCTGAACTTACCAAACAGACAAATTATGGGGTGATTATTCACATTTTAAAAGGATTCACCACAGGATGCTTTTAAATCATAAGCTGCTCTATTGCATTTTAAATAAGTTGATTTATAAAGCTTCCTTTACAAGGACTTTTCACTATCCAGGGTTCATGGTTCCTTATCCAAAGGCAATGAGAGCTTGGTGAGCATAAAGTCCTATTACCTGCTAAGCCAAGCTTCCTTTCCCAAATAAGAGAATAATTAGGACTGTAGTTCATTTTTGAAAAATTAATGAGTCTCTCACTCCTGAAAAATTTAATATACCCTGAGCACTTATTATGTGCCTGGCACAGTGCTAGGCATTTTAGATAATGATCTTATTTACTCCTCCTCACCACAACTCTAGGAGATTAGTACAATTATCCCAATCATGGATGAGGAAACTGGGACTCAGAGAAGTTAGAGTTAAGTAACTTGACTAAATTCTTGCAGCAAATAAGTGATCGTGCCAGGATTCAAAGTCAGATCTGTCTGGAGCTCTTGCCCTTACATATTTTACAATATAATTTCAGATGAAATTTAATGACGTCTCTTACCTCTGACCTAACTGAGCATAATTGCGCTCCAAATGTACTATTCCAGTGCAGCAATCCTGTCTGTAGCAATAGGGACCAGTCACACAGCCTGAATACAAAAAGATAGGGGGCTCACTAACAAGGTTGCCTATTCTGGTCACTGCACTGCCATATTAAGCCCGGATTTATCTCCTGCAATTCCTACCTATTGGATCTAACTTTGCTCTACAGTCATTGAGAACAATTAAAATCCCTTCCCCCCATACCTATCATATTTCTCTTATGGTTTCTTTCTTCTTTTTTTTTTTTTTTTTTTTTTTTTTTAGTATCCAGTGCCTCCAACCTTTTTAAAATATAATGGGTTTATCCGCTATTTACATATATTTTATTCTTTCTTGAAACTGGTTCTTCTGGAGCACAGAGAACTTATAAATGCTATTTCTAAGCGTTTATGCAACTAAAAATTATTGGAACAATACACAGTATAGTGGATAAGGGCGCAAGCTCAGAAACCCAGACTGCCTGGGTTCAAATCCAGGCTTTACCAATTAATGGCTCGATTTCCTTGGTGAATATATTTAAAGTCTCTGTGCTTCAGTTTCCTCCTTCAACTATGAAATGAGGACAACAGTACCTAGTTAATGTGGCTCTTGTGAAGATTTAAAAGAGGGGCAATATTAAGCAAAAGGCAATATAAGGAAAATTACTCTACAGTGTCTAACTCTTCACGTCAGGCAACATTCATACAGCAATATTCATATAGCGCTTACAGCCTGCTAGGCAGCAATTAGGGTACTGCCTAGGTTGTAAGCTTTATATAAATGTTTGTCATTATTATTGATGGTATAGGAGTGAATGAATACTTAACTGCCTTGGAAAAATATGACCTATATCATTGTATGAGATTGATTTTATTATCCAGATATAAAGAAGTCAAGCTCAACTAGAAAAGGCACTTGACTGGAGACCAGAGATGTGCTTCTAGTCCCAACTCTTTCAAACACTCCAGATGAAAGATCTTGGACTTTATCTACCTCATCTTTTTAAACAGAGGAATGGGACTGTACCTCTGCCTCTAAAATGATATGTTTTTATTCTAGGATTCTAGGATCCTATTCCACCTGGACCCTGCTTAAATTTCATTACTCATTATGTTTGAAAACTACCATTACATACTAACATTTTATCTGCATGTTTATATCTGTTGACATTTCAATCAGCTTATCTGCATTGTTTTCACGAAACAGAATAAGCCTCTGAGAGTCTATAGACAGGTCTGAAAAAACAAAAGGTGTTGTGATAGCACAGAGAGGAATTTAATGTCACTTTGGAGGAAATAACCTAAAGTCCTACTCTGCCAAGCCAGTAAAATCCTGTCCTCTGCCTGCAACACCTGGCCCAGTCCATGCTATCTTGCTGAATTTCAGTGCAGCTCTTTGGATAAACTCAAATTCAGGTTTGGATGGAATACCAGGTTGATACAACAGTCATTTTTTTTCAACAGAAGTGCAGGTTGGACTACCTTTTACCTACCAAAATCACCTCATTCTTTGATATATAGAACATTTAGCTAATTTTATTATGACTTAGTATGCCAGTACTCCTCATATACTTTATTGTCCATCCCCAGATCTAGTGAAGGCATGGTGACTGGTATCAGTATCAAGGCAATTGTCTTCAAAGAATGTGGCAATCTATTCTAACAAAGTAAATTCCACAAGGGAACAAGGGGACAGCCACTCTAAATTCACTAATGACAAAAACTTTGATATTTTGTAATTAAGCACAATGCATTATTCTATAAATAAAAATGATGTCCTTGTAAATCTAAAAGCTATGAAACGTTATATTTTCTATTTCTAAAATTCTCTAGGCTCAAAGTCAATATGTAAGTCTAATTTTTTTAAATGCACAAAAAGCTATGATATTTCAAATCTTAGATACTAAATTTGTGAATTGAGTGAACCTGGCTTCTCCCGCTTAGACGTGAACATTCCTGTTAGTACATAAATATTAACGAATATTTTAGGCCAAAATTTTGTGTTTGGTGATTGACTTATGGAATCAGTCTAAGTAGGTGTGAAGGTGACTAGACTTATTTTGGAACATGTACAATTTCATAACAGTAACACGGCCGTTAAATAATTCTCTTTAAATGATATTTAACTCTCATTTTAACTGTTAGCCCTTGCATTATGAAGCAGCTTGATGCTGAAGTAAAGCTAAGATTTCAGTAAAAAGAATAAGAGCTTTATATTCTAGAAGGTAGAAATCCTAGAAAAATCAAAGAAATTAAAATTTTGGAAGTTTTTGATTCATTTCTTATATTTTAAATAGGATTCTAAAATAACATATCTCTTCTATACATAAGAAAATAGTCTGGTTCACATATTTTGATTTATTGAAAAGTTATTACAGTACAACTCAGGTTGCCGAATACTAACATTGCTATACCAGCGTTGTTTTGGTAAATGTTTGCATTATAACTCTGGTTGTATTACAGCAAAACACTCAGAAGAAAGAGAGTAACTTTTACACATATTACATAGCATCTGTACAGTCATCCCTTAAAATGCAACAATACAACTGCAACACTTTAAATACTTTAAAATACAAATGCCTTTGAAGAACATAACTTATATACTATTTATTAATAGGATTAAATCAACATTTTTATGGCTCTCTAAGCTTATCCCAGAAACTCTTCCATTATTTCAGTGAGTAACAAGAGAATTTTTTTTATTGTTTATTTTTTTTTAGATATGGTTTCACTCTATCACCTAGGCTGGAGTGCAATGGTGTGATCTTGGTACACTACAGTCTCTACCTCCTGGACTCAAGTAATCCTCCTGCCCCAGCCTTCTGAGTAGCTGGGACCACAGATGCATACCACTACACCTAGCTAATTTTTTTTTTTTTTTTTTTTTGAGATACAGGTTCTCACTATGTTGTCAGACTGGTCTTAAACTTCTGAGCTCAAGCAATCCTCTCCTTGGTCTCCCAAGTACTGTGATTACAGGCATAAGCCACTGCACCTGGCCGAGGGTCTTATAGATAGGTAATATTAACACCATTTTGCAAAATTTTAAAAATAAGGCAAGGAAAGGTTAAAATAAGTTGTACAAGTTCAACAAGTAGTAAGTGAAATTCAGCCAGACTTTGAACATAGACATCCTGTTTTAGAATCTCAATGTTCTTTCTATTTTTCCCAAAGCAATCTCACTAACTAATGTACGTATTAGATTGCACTGATATAGTAAGGACAAAGAAAACCCATTTTCTGTGTATATTGCTATTGCCTTAGAAAATACAAATAGCTACTGAAAAGACCAATGCTATGAAGCAGTTTGGTAATACCTATTAAAAATTTTAAATCTCTGCTACACTGTATTAATATTTTATATCTTAAAAAGTTAAAGAATAATAGAGCCTAACTTAGATCCTTCCAAATTTGTAACTCTTCAAAATCTAAAATGAATTTCTAATTCATGGCTTATAACTGCTCAAGTAGGAAACTTATGACAAAACCAGAGACAAGCCCTTCCAACAGTGCCTATGACATCACAGATATACAAATCTGCCCCATTTTACAGTACCCAAAGAAGACCGGAATTCAGCTGTTATCAGACAATAATAAACTTCTTCTGGTAAGTTCGTCTCTTAGTCTTAGATTTACATTCCCACTGTCAGCAAGAATTTTTAAGTTAAACATTTTTGAAAAGTAAAAATTCAATAAATAGCATTTACATTATCCACAGAATGTATTTTCATTGCTTTGGTGCTAAAATATTTTATTTTAGGCTGTTCTTTTTTCTCTTTTCCATCCACCTCTTAGCTCCTTTGCTCCAATCCTTGCACCTTTCCACCCTTGTTCTCTCTCTCCCTGAAGCCTCAGGGAAGAGGGCTGCAAACTGTCTGGATGCCTGGACCCTCACGCTCCTGAGATTAAACCCAGACCCGCCCATGGCAAGAGTCCCGTTCTTTGTCTGAAGCAAGTGTCTGATTGAGTTAGATATGGAGTCGTTATCACATTGAAAAGAAAGCCTGGATTTTTTTTATCTTTGGTATTAAAATATGTTATATTTGTATTAAAATATTCATCTAATAAACTCTCCCAAAGAAAACAGTTTCATTATATTTTCACCGTATTTTCTCATTCCATTCTTAAAGCCACAGTGAAAGGAAAGTTGTTGTGGTCACCCCAAAATACTCTTTCCCACTTCTAATCAAGGTCTGGTTAGGACAAAGCTAAACAATAATTTCTACTTTGTATTTAAGGACACCAGCTACTGTTTACCCACTGATGTTATTTATACTAATAGGGGGTCTCTGAAGTGACACCTAAAGCTTGCTAAAGGTTTCAGGAGGGCTTTTGTAAAGTCAATTTTCTCCCAGTATCGCTTTATCCCCACAGAGTAAGCAGATGGGAGAGTTCTTTTTCCCTCAAAATAAGGCTTATAGCATTGACTAGGGAATTTAAATGTATCTTTACAATTCTCAACTTGATCTCCCAGGAAGAGCTTTTATAGATTTGGATTTTTTTTTGTCATAAAGTATTCTATTTATTTCCCAGCAGCTGGTGTCAAAAAAGTTGTTTTTTTAATATTCCTTTTAAATAAATAAAATCTGTTTTCATATTGTGTAAAATTAGTTTTGCCTGCTGTGAGTTTGTGGCATTATGAAGTGATCATTTCTTCCCATGAATTATTTAAAGTGAGGATATCAAAATCTGATGGAACAATACAATGAACTATACAATACAATTTAATTTTATAATACGCCAGTTCATAATAGTATCTCAAAATGCACAGTAGTTGCAATACATTGGTTCAGAATTAGCAGATCAAGTATAAGCCCCTCAGTTTCATATTTTAGTATTTGAGAATCAGTTCTAAATTTTCTAGTGGACTAGAGAATCATGCATATTTGGTAGTCCATAGATACCTAAAGACCTTTTTGCTAATTCCTCATGCCAGGCACTGATGTTTGCCCAGCCTAGATGACATTTTTTTTCTTTTTTTGTAAATCTTTAAGACATTGAGTTTGACAGCTGTTAACCCTTTCATTACAAAACAATATTGGTATTAATAGCATTTCCCCTGGAGTTCTCTGATCACTTTGTCTTAGGGAACAAATGCACCTATGTAGCCACAATTATTCTTACTACTTATTCTCACTGCAGAGTTTCTAGAAGAAGGGAAACAACGATCCATTCAAATGCCCCACTGCACTTATAAGACTTACAGCAAAGCTGCTAAAACTTAAATTTTAAGGTGAGTGAGGTGGCATAAGGGAAATGAATGAGCTGCTAATGAATAGGGCAAGACATGATTAGAAGCTATAACAAAGTCTGACTCAAGGAAAGGCCAAAGGTTATCTTGTATTTGATATGTGTGTTTTAATAAATTATAATCAAAATACTACACTGACTTTTTCCTCAGTGGATTTTCTAGCATTCTATAAGAGATATTTTGTCTGATTAACTTGCTATATTGAAAAGTGGGAGTCAGTATATATTACTTACAAATTCTCAAATAGCCTCTGAAAAAATTCCACCACAAAGATTTTAAAAAATGGAAGTATATGGAAACAAGATGCTACAAGATGTTGGAAATGGTTTTCCAAAGCAAGAACTGGCTTAAAACATAGAATAGCAATAATGAGCACTTTTCTTGTTAGTTCTACATACTGTAAACTAATTTATGCCCCAAACAGAACTCTGGTTTCCCTATTATCCATGTTGCCACTTCCTCCTCTAATCTAACTGTACTTCTCTCGTCTCAGTGAAAGGTGCCACCATCTGCCCTGACAGTTGATCAGGCCAAACATCAGCAACTCTTTTTGCCTCACCCACCACATCTAATCCATCAATAAGCCGCATTAACCCAAACACAAAAGTACATCCCAAACCCGACCATTCCTCACTATCTCTGCTATCACGAACAAAAATCACAATTATCTCTTATCTGGTCTCCTAACTGATTTCTCTGCTTCCACTGTTGCACCTTATAATCCATTATCTAAACAGAAGCTAGAATTCTTGAAATGCAGGAAAGATGATATCATTCCTTTGGTAAAATTCTACAAGTTATATATAGTGCAATAAGAAGAAATTAAAATTCAAAACCATGACCAGTAAGTCTCTCCATTATCTGTTCATGACCATCTTTCTGTTCTCATCTTCTAACATTTTTCCTTTGTTCACCGTGCTTCTTTGCCTATTCTGTCTCTAAAACAAGCCAATCTTATTCCTATTAGCCCTGGTCTAGCTATATTGCCTCTGCCCAGACTGCTCTGTTCCTACATCTCTGCATGACTGATTTCTTCACTCGTAGCTCAAATATTATCTCCACAGAAAGGTCTTTCCTTGTGTGGCCAAGATAGCCAAAGCATCCCCAATTCATTCTACCCTGCTTTACTTTTCTCTTAGAACTAATTACTAGTATCTTCCTTATTTACATCCTGTATGTATGTGAGTATGCACATGTACCTGTATGTTCATAATCTCTATTACAGTATAAATTCCATGAGGATGAGGTTCTTGGATGTGTTAGTTATCTATTACAGCATAACAACTTACCCCCAAACTTAGTAACTTAAAAAAGCAAACACCATTCCACAGTTTCTGTGGGTCAGGAATCTGGGCTCAGTATAGGTAGGTGCCTATGGGTCAAAGTTTCTCATGAGGTTGTGATCAAACTGTCAGCTAGAGCTGTGGTTTCATCTGAATTCTCGACTGAAGAGGAGGAGACTTGCCATGTGGGGGTCTTCACATGTGAAGGTCTTCACACAGGGGTCTTCACACAGGGCTACTTCATGACTTGGACTTTGCTTTTTCTCAGGGAGAGCAATCCGGGAGAGAGTGATAGAGGGACTCAAGAGAAAAACCACAAGCTTTTTAAAAACTTAACCTTGGAAGTGACATCCTATCACTTCTGTCCTTTATTAAAAATGAGTCACTAAGTCCAGCCAATACTAAAGGAGAGGAAATTAGACAAGCAGGTGAAAATAGAGGATGTGGAGATCAGGTGGGGCCATCTTAGAAGCTGCCTATTATAATTGCTTACCAGTACATTCTTAGTGTTCAGAAAAATTTCGGACTTTCAGTAAACAAATTAATTTAAAAAATGACTCTCTCATGAATTAGTTCCATTGGACATTTTGCCAATGATCAAGAAAAAGTAGTGAATAAAATCTCACTCAAGTAGTGACATTCAAACCAAAAGAGATCACCCCAGTAGGAAGGTTTCATTAGGATGTGTAAGCAGAAAGTAGCAGTACAGCCTCAGTTTCTTCATCTGTAAAATATAAAGAGTAGTTGTACCATACTGTCGGAGACCTAATGAGGCAATTCGTGAGGGCCTCATGAATCAAAGGCAGTGGATAGATGTTAGCTATTATCTATTCTTAATAAGTATAAATGCAAGGGAAGCATTTTTAGGGAAAATAACACAAATCATGTTTTTATAATGATGGTATTTGATACATCAGGTTTAACTCAAAAAAGAATTTAAGAACCACTTTCAATTGTTTCCTAATTATATTAGCTTAAATATGAGACTGTAACCAAAAAGACTAATAAAATTTTGGAACTCATCAAGTGTACTGAAAATAGGCTAGAAAGCTTTCCATATATTTATGTAAAGTTTTGACATCTTCGAATGGACATAATGATGCATTTGCAATCTCCACAATCATGAGGGCCTAAAGGGAGAGAGATGTGTAGAGCCCTGGAATTGAAGATCCATGGTGTGACTGGGGGGGGAAAGTCTCTGAAAAGTTAAAAGAAGACAGGGCACTGAACCCTGATCTAATATGTAATGGGGTTATGAAATTTAGGCAGAGGGTAGTCATAGAATTATTCATGAAATCCTAGAATAGTAATACTAGAGGTCAAACTTCATATTCAGAAAAGTACAAATAGGGTCAGGTAATAAAGCACTATTCCATATTTTTTTTTAATGCCTGCCTTGGAAGGTAGCAAAACTTAAGTAAGAAGTTGGAGAAATTCATAGAAGATATACCAAAATAGACTGTAGTGGATGTATGGATTGGAGTTTGCCATCAGAGAGGCAAACAAGGATGTCTTTAAACTTATTTACTGATGTTTCCATTTACAACCAAATGGGGTAGATGCATCCCACATTTAAAGAAGCCATTCCAAAAGCAGGAACAGCACCCCTATAAGATGTTATCATTCCTGTTCTATTAATTACAGTGTCACTCACTCTTTTACTGATAGCCCTGATGGAGAATCAGCATGAACCAGCCATTTTCCTCCCTGTATATACATTAGCAAAACTTTGACCATTAAATAGTTCAAAGATAGGCTTGCCTCGCTGTCTCATGCCTATAATCCCAGCACTTTGGGAGGCCAAAGTGGGCAGATTGTTTGAGCTCAAGAGTTCAAGACCAGCTTTGGCAATGTGCCAAAACCCCATTTCGACAAAAAATACAAAACTGTGCTTGGTGTGTTGGTGTGCGCCTATGGTCCCAGCTACTTGGGAGGCTGAAGTGGGAGGATCACTTGCGTGCAGGAGGTCAAGGCTGCAGCAAGCTGAGATCACACCACTGCACTCCACCCTGCAGCCTGGGTGACAGAGTGAGAGCCTGTCTGAAAGAAAGAAAGAAAGAAAGAAAGAAAGAAAGAAAGAAAGAAAGAAAGAAAGAAAGAAAGAGAGAGAGAAAGAAAGAGAAAGAAAGGGAGAGAGAAAGAAAGGAAATCTCAGATATATCTATAATAGAGGAATCTCTCAAAACAATTTCTGCAATATCCAGTGTGGTGGATCTAATGGTGACCTTCCAAAAGAAACGCCCACATTCTAACCCCTGAAACCTGAGAATGTGACCTTATTTGGAAAAAGGATCTGTGCAGATGTAATGAGGTTAAGGATTTCTAGATGAGGTAATCCTGGATTGCCCAGGGAAGCCGTAAATCCAATAACATTTTCTTATAAGAGAAAAAAGAGAAGACAGAGAGAGCAGAAGGCCATGTGAAGACAGAGGCACAAACTGGAGTTACATAGCCACAAGCCAAGGAACCTCTGGAGCCACCAGAAGCTGGAAAAGCAAGGAATGATTCCCCCTCACTTAGAGTCTTCTGAGAAAGTGTAGCCCTGCCAACACCTTGATTTCAGACTTCTGGCTTCCAATTCTGGGAAAGACTAAATTTAAGCTGTTTTAGGCCATCAAGTTTGTGCTAATTTCTAATGGCAACCCTAGTAAATTAATACACCCAGAACAAGTAATTATGTTTTCCAGAGAGGTAATGCAATGTAGTAAAAAAAAACATTTTGAGTGAGACAGATTTAGGTTTAGACCTGGGGTTTCTCTATACTAATTGTGTGTCTTTGAACAAGTTACTTTATATCTCTATCTTCAGGTTCTTCTTTAGTAAAATGATGGTAAGTTTCCCTTGCAGGGTCGCTGTGTGATATGTTATTTCTGCTCAATTCAGTACTCAATTAACCTGTTAATGATAAATTCACGCATGTGCAACATGTCTACAGACGTTAAAAACTGTTGTTTTCCTTGAAAATCAACATACATTTTAGCAAGGTATTAATTAGAACATATGGGATTGATTAATGTGGAAACTAGTTGTACAATACCAAATGTTTTAACAAACCTTTATTACAACCTGACTATTCATGTCATTTCAAATAACTTTCCTGGTTGTCAGTGGAACCATATTCAGTCTGTTCTTTTACTGTCTCATCTGTAATATCTTCCATAGTTTCTAATAGAGAAATAATGAAAAAGCCAGAGTATTAGTAGAAAATGTTTGCGTCTAGCTTGAGCTTAAGTCAGATATAGAGTCAAAATTGTGATCACAGAATTCTCCTAAATGTTAGTCTCAGAAAATTGACAAGGGCATAATAATTTCTAGGACAGAGTAGTCAAATTCATACCCACCATTGATACCTTCCTATCCCTGACATTAAAACAGACAAAAAAAAGTAGTTCTCACAATAATTTTATAGAGGAAGAATATAGGAATCATGCAGTTTAGGTATCTCTTATTCTGGAATAACTCCTTAATACTAAATTGAGGCTCTAGTGAGAGCTATTCAAAATGCATAAATGAAAGTAAAATAAATTTTCAAGAACCGATCTTTCTTACTTTTCTAGCAACAAACTTTTGAAAAAAATTAAAAATTTTAAAAAGTAAAATATGTAATAAATTAGCTATAATATCATTTGTAGCTATTGTAATTTATTTTTTATTCATTCACTCAACAAGCATTATTAAATGCCTAGTAAATGTCAGGCATTGTGTTAGGCACTAAAGACGCAGCCTTGAATAAGACATACTACTCCCTACCTTAAGGATAATTTAGGCAAAACAATCAATGATAATAAAGTGCACATTACAGGAATGCAATGTAAGGCAATTATAATTAGGGAATCGGGGAAGGCATTCCATAGAAAATAAGCTTTAAATTGAGACTTGCAAGATTGGTTTTATGTCAGTGGAGGTGAGCACATGGGGGAAGAAAAGAGTAATGAAGAGTATTCAAAACAAAGAGTAGAACATATGCAAAGACCAGAAATGAGAGTGAGCATGGTGCACCGAAGGCATGAAAACACGTTTAGTATGACTAGAGCATAGAATGCTAGGGGGAAAGGGGCATGAATCAGTCTAGAAAATGAGACAGGAGCCAGGCTGGAAGATTAATATTAAGGAAGTCAGAATACTGTTGCAATAACTTAGGTGAGATAAGATGGTACCCTGGATGAGAGTAGTAGTTCTGATATGAAGAAGATTGAACAGATTAAGGACATTCTTAGGAGGAAGATCAAAAGTACCAGGTGATTGACTGCATGTGGAACAGTACAGGATATGGAAAAGGTAATGTCAAGTTTCTAATGTCGGCAATTATGTAGCAATACTGGAGGTGAGAGCATGTTTGGGGCAAAGAGGTGAGTTTAGAACATGTTGAGTATGAGGTGTCTGTGAGTCATCCAAGAGAAGAGGTCTAGAAGGCAGTGCTCAGAGAGAAGCCTGAGCTGGAGAAATATGTGGTGGTCATTCAGATGCAGATGCTAATGAAACCTATGGGAGAAAATGAGATTGCCTGGGAGGACTGCCCAATGTGAGGAGAGAGCCTAAGAGAGAGTTCAGAGAACATCAACTTTAGTACTGCAAAGGTTAAGTAAGACTAGCAAGGCTGCCTCTAATGAGACTTTATACAACCCCCTTCATAGTAAGTTCTCACTTTCTACAGCAATTCAGGGCTCACACTTCTCTTCTCTCTTTTGACTCTCAAACAAAATTATAAGATAAGCAGGGTGGGCAACAGGACTTCTTGAAGATAAAAATAATCTAGGTTTCAAGAGGTTAGGCTTGAGGTCATGGATCTCTTTATTTCCAGATTAGTTTTCTTTCCATGCCATTACTCTACTCCCAAGGATTAGCTCCTTATAGCTTCTTCTTTGTTGTTAGCCTGGACTGTTGCCTAGGTGTCATTTTAGAGGGGTGAAGTTTTTTTGCATTATATTATATTAAAAATTTTCTCCATCTGGAACTGATGAAAGGACAGAAGGGCTAACCTGAGGCAAAACTCGAGAGTGGCAGAACTGTTTCTTAGAGCTTCCAACCTCCCTCATCTCTACCTTACCCCTTCTTTAAAAACTTTTGTTCATTTACTCAATAATTAGTTATTAAGATAATTTGTGGATATGGAAATTAACAAGCCACACCAAGTCTCTACCTTCACGGAGCTTACACAGTAGTAAAATGGCAGACATAAGAACCAATGCACTAAAAGTTAAGAAAGAGGAGTGTAGAACCAGGAGACACCAAGGGCATACCTAACCTACACTGAAGAGGTTAAGGAACACTTCTTAGAATAAGTAATATTTCAACTAAGATCTAAAAAATGGTTGAAGTTGACTGTCTTGGCCACTGTTGCAAGGAGGAAAACTGATTCAACCAACGAATTTAGAAAATTGTAATGGAAACGTATAGGTTAGTGTGCCATCCTCTTGTATTTTTCAAAAAAGAAATCCCAGAATTTGCAACATTTGATCCAAAAAGAATGAATCTCCTCAAACTGTGGAATTCCTGCACTAGTACTGATATGGTTTGGCTCTGTGTCCCCAACCAAATCTTACCTTGAATTGTAATCCCAGGGACCTGGTGGAAGGTGATTGGAGCAAGGGGGGCGATTTTCCCCATGCTCTTCTGTGATAGTAAGTGAGGTCTCATAAGATTTGATGCTTTTAAAGTTATTTGGCAGTCTCTCTCTTCTCTCTCTTTTTCTGTCCTTCTGCCGCCATGTAAGACGTGCCTTGCTTCCCCTTCACCTTCTGCCATGATTATAAGTTTCCTGAGGCCTCCCCAGCTGTGCAGAACTGTGAGTCAATTAAGCCTCTTTTCTTTATAAATTGCCCAGTCTCAGGTAGTTCTTTATAGCAGTGTCAAAATAGACTAATACAAGTACTATCCAAGTATAAGAGAAAACATTACTCTCACCTATCTCAACTCATACCATGTAGGCAGGCCCTTAATCTATCTCCCCCTGAGTCCAGATTTGAAGGCAAGGAAAGAACTATAAGTACCTTGTCTTATTTATTTTTCAGGACTCTAAGTTATATTATCTCCATTATACAGTAGAGAAAAATCATCTGAAAAATTACGCAAATCTGCCCAAGATTTCAAGCCAGTAAATGGGGAGCTAGGTCTTCATTCTGGTCAGTTGGCTCCAAAGCATCTATTTATTCTACCTTGAATATATATACACGTATACATATATTTTACAGATGGTGTTTCACTATGTTGCCCAGGTTGGCCTCAAATTCCTGGCCTCAAGTGATCCTCCCACCTCAGCCTCCTAAAGCTCTGGGATTACAGGCATAAGCCCCCATGGCCAGCCAAGCATATATATATATATTTTTTTTTGAGACGGAGTCTCACTCTGTCGCCCAGGCTGGAGTGTAGTGGCACAATCTTGGCTCACTGCAACCTCTGCCTCCCAGGTTCAAGTGATTCTCCTGCCTCAGCCTCCTGAGTATCTGGGACTACAGGTGCCTGCCATCACACCCGGCTAATTTTTTTTTTTTTTTGTATTTTGAGTAGAGACAAGGTTTCACCGTGTTAGCCAGGCTGGTCTTGAACTCCTAACCTCAGGTGATCCACCCCCCTTGGCCTCCCAAAGTGCTGGGATTACAGGCGTGAGCCACCGCACATGGCCATATTTTTATAAAGACTTGTGCACAGATGCTCATTGCTACTTTATTTGTATTGCTAAAAATTGTAAACAGTCTAAATGCCCATCCTTAAGTGAATGGATAAACAAATTATAGTATGTCTATACAGTGGAATACTATGCAGCGAAAAAAATGGTGAATTATTGATACATGCTATGACATAAATGGATCTCAAAGTCAATATACTGAGTGAAAGAAGGACAAAACAAGTACAGAAGATTCTATTTTTATAATAGAATTCAAATTTTTATAAAATTCTAGGAAATGTAAGCTACTGTGTAGTGATGGAAAATAGATCTATGGTTGCATAAGAAAATTACTGGAGTAAATATATATATATATATATATATATATATATATATATATATATTAGCTGAGAGTGGTGGTGCATACCTACAGTCCCAGCTACTGGGAAGGCTGAGGCAGGAGGATCACTTGAGCCCAGGAGTTTGAGGTTACAGTGAGCTATGATCATGCCACTGCACTCCAGGCTGGTTGACAGAGCAAGTCCCTGTCTCAAAAAAAAAAAAAAAAAAAAAAAAAAAAAAAACTTTCATTTCTCTTGTGTAAACATGTAGGCATGAAATGGCTGGATAACATGGTAAACATACATTTAACTTTTTAAAAACTGTCAGACTGTCTCTAAAGTGGCTGTACCATTTTACTTTACTGCCAGCAACTTATGAGGCTTCCAGTTTCTCCATATCCTCAAAAATCTTGCTATGCTCAGTCTTTTAAATGTCAGTCATTCTAAAGGATGTGTAATAGTGTCTCATGATTTTAATTTGCCTTCTTCTAACAATGATTGATATTGAGCATCATTTCATGTGCTCATCATATACCATCTTTTTCTTTTTCTTTTTTTTTTTTTTTTGGTGAAGTGCCTGATCAAATCTTTGCCCATTTAAATAATATGTTGTATATTATTGAGTTTTCGAAGTTCTTTGTATTTTCTGGATATAAGTTCTTTATCAGATATATTCTTTGCAAATATTTTCTTACAGTCTGTGGCTTACCTTTTCATTTTCTTAATAATGTTTTCAAAGTGCAGAATTTTTTAATTTTCATGAAATCTAATTTATCAACTTATTCTTTTATGGGTCATTCATAAATGAATTGTGCACTAATCATCTCCTAACATACTACATGAGTTACTTATCTTTTCACTGATGGATCCCAAGTGGCTAGTAAAGTACTGAATACACATTAGGTATCAATAAACATCTGATGGATAAATTAAAATTTCAAATAGTGAAAGCAAAATTATAGAAACTTAGTTCATTGGCAGCACAGAAAATAAAATAGCCTCTAGTGCAAAGCCATATTCAATTTTTTGTTATCTGATCTAGTATGAAGTTTGATCGATACAAGGACCCAAATTTATTAAATCTTGTTAAAGAACCTGATGCTCTCTCTCTAGAGACAATCCTTTCTTCCCCAAAATAGAAATGTGAAATTCCATAGAACTTAAATGTAAAGCAGTAAGTCCCCTACCCACCTCTGTGCCTCACCTCGCCCGTGACTCAAGTGCTATATGAACCCCTGCAAATAAATCAAGGCTGCTGAATTCTCAAAAGCTCTAATTGTGCCAATTGTAAATAAGCCTCAGGATGAATTTCAACCAGCAGTGTCCCCAAAACCATTATCTGCAACTATAATCCATTACTTTTCTTTCATAATTAATTTTTCTAATAGGTCAGTACTATTTGTTTTGTTTAAGCGCTATTCCAGCAATCCCATTTTACCAACAACCAATGTCAATTGTAATTATATACATATTTTCTATTATATACAACAAATACATTCTTATATTATGCGAAACACTAAATTGGGCAGTGATTTTTTAATGAGTAATAAGGTAATATGCTACATTGGTGCTCAACTGCACTTGTCTTGACCATATGAATTAAGAGTCTAGTGGAAATTTATAAGCACCTTGAGGACTTCCAGGTATGTGGG
Organism: Homo sapiens; assembly: GCF_000001405.40. Classification (NCBI taxonomy): domain Eukaryota; kingdom Metazoa; phylum Chordata; class Mammalia; order Primates; family Hominidae; genus Homo; species Homo sapiens. The sequence continues at coordinate 114,845,962 of NC_000003.12, forward strand.
TGCTTAAATAGGTACTCAAAAGATGCTGCTTATTTTCATAGATTTTAATGTCTAAATCACTGGGAACAATGACAATTACCAGAGATATAGATAGGTGGTTAGATAAACACACAAGAGATATGTATGTTAGAGACATACACATTATAGAGAGTATAATAGGGTTGTATACACACCTACATATACCTATATAATGTGTGTGTCTGTGTGTTTGTATGCATGTGTATGAAATCAAAATGCAATTCACTGGAACACTGAAGACAAAGCGGTCAAGCAGCTGAGAGAATTCACCATACTGATGAGCTTTCCTCCTCAGAGAGCTTGCTCCTCAGGCCCTCACTCAAAGGCTCTTTATTCTTTTTAGATACAATTCTAAAGAGTTTGATATCTACTTTTCCATCCACAACAGACTAAATGCTGAAAACTCGAGAGCATAGGTGAGCTTGTGTTTGATGCTAGCTGCAAGCAGCCTGACACAGGGAGAAATGAGAGCTCTCCTAGAGCCAATCTGGGGAGTGTCCTGGTGAGGGCACTGAGACCTGCTAGTTAGGAGGAGGCCTAGTGCAAACAGGCAAAATTGCTTGGATGAAGGGTAATCAATCTGAGCCTAGTTCTTTTGGATGAAACCTTTGAGAACTCAATGACAAGAGGATATGGATCCAACAGGAGACTAGTAGAGAATACAAATTCATTATTTTGCTATACAATGCTAGTTGCATTTTAAACAATTGTTTCTCTATGAATTTTACTACCAGGCTTTTCTGAACCATTCTGTGTGAATTCAATACTGCCTGGATTTTTAAAACCACTTCTGACACTATAAACCAGAGAAATCTTTCTTAAAAGATAATAAGAAGATGGGGCCTTGCATTTCTCATAAAAGGAAAATGACTCCACCATAAGTGTATTCATTACACACTGTTGAGGCATGAATTCAGGGAAAATTAGACTGAATATGAGATTACCATCCTAACTTTCTGAAACACTCCCAGCGCTGTCACCAGAGTTCTTACTTCAAATATTTACTCTTGATCTAAAAATATCTTAGTCCAAGAAACGGAATGATTACTCCACAGTTAAAGTATATTTAGTGATCTGAGAGAGGAGAAGTTTCATTTCACTCAAGCAAATGGTTTTAGTACCACAACCAATTAATAGCTTCATCATGTGTGAGCCATGATTATAAAGGAATCGGACTAATTTTTTAAACAAATCTATAGGCTTCTCACAAGGGCTATTTTTCACAATGGTCACCTTGGAAGAAAGTCACTCCAGGGATACCGTCATTACTTCAGATTTGGGACCTTACCTTTAGAATTGGTTCATGAGAAAAAAAAAAAAAGAAACACTACATGCTTCATAGTTACCCTCCCCACCTAACACTACATATCCCTGATCACCAACTTTGAATATGCCTCATTTACACTGATCAACCAAAAGCCTCCTGGAAATGGTAACACGGCCTATTTATCCTGGGCTTTACTGGGAGGGTGGGGGATGAAGAGGGTTTATAGGAATTAAGAGAGTCTATTTTTAATTATTTCATCTGTGAAACATATGAAATTCCTTTGGCCAAAAATGCAATATAAAACTCAGATTATCAAGGGCCTTTTCGTGGGACCAGTGAAATGGAGAAAAAAGTCTCCATGACAAAATAGAGGACTTTTGGGAATCCTTTTTTTTCTGAGGTTTGCATGTGTGTGTTTCTAGCTTGGCTCTCACCTGAACTGCTCTTTCATAATCTACTGTAGTCATTGGGTACCTGGAATCTGGGAAAACTCCAACCTTACTCCAGCACTTGTGCAATAACACAGTAAGGCACATGGAGTCAAGTTTAAGCACTTAGTCCAGGGTTCTTTGCACCCTGTGGGCCTTCAGTAAGCACTTGTTGATTGACTGAATGCGTGGCTCACTATCAATGTGAATTAACTATATACATACTGCATTAAAATCCAACAACCCAAATACTTTCTAGCTTTCAGGAAGTAATGCATCTAATTGACAGAACCACTCTTATGCCTCCTAATCCCCACTTCCTACAAACCAGCTCAAAGGAAGAGAGAGAATTTGAAGAAACAAAAATGAACATAAGAAAAACAATTAGCTGATGCACTCTGCAAAGCCTGTAATATTATCTAGAATGACAGCATAGCCATTGTTCGTGCTGCCAGAGCCCCGCGTGTTTGCTAGCTCACCCGAGGTCCTGAGAGAATAATAAACTAAGCAGATTAGATGTAGACTGATGCCTCCATGCCACCACCAACTCACACAACACACACACTGTTCTGAGTGTCTGAACACATGCGGGCAGGTAAACCCAGAAAATGGGCACTCCATGTTGGCAGGAGGGGAAGAGGCTGCCAACAAACAGGGCCTGTTTATTATTTAACAGTTGGTACTGCTAGAGGCCTGGCACCGCTATAGAGCACTCTCTGTTTCAGTGCAAGTCAGCCTGATTATGAGAGCGTGTGAGCCAAATCATGTTTACCATAGTCTGTGAGAACCTCTGTGCCCCCAACAGACATGGAAATTCTTACAATAGCTCTCGTCCAAACAGAGAAAAATCACTCCTGAGATGGAGGTAAAGGGCCCCACGTGCTTAAATTTTGTCTGATCAGCTGGCTCAGTGTCTCTACATGTAGTTGTTTTTTCCCTGCTCAAGACAAGTCATTCCTCTCTAATGATACAGTTTCTAATCCTCTGCCTTTGGTTACTTTACTTTGGGACCTAAATCAACCAAATACTATGTCAATCACCCATCTACTAATATTGCTTATGCTGTCCTGCACGCTTTGGCTTTTCAGCAAAAGAATCTGCTGCCCAGGGCGGCTACCTCCTGCTTCTCCTTCGCCAGGGCTGCCTCTGCAGTAAGTCTCCTCTCTGCCAATGTGGGCCACAGGTGGATGCCTTCCTACAAATCCAATCAGCAGGATAATGTGCTACTATCACAAGAGTGGACCTTAATGACAAAGAGCCCTGCTTAGATGGTCACCCCATTAACTTTGATTTGATTATTCTGCCCCAGCAGAACACTTGGCTTCACAACCACAGATGGCAACAGTCCAACATAAAACCTGTAGACAGAGTAGTCATGTTGGGTTCATACATTTTCAAAATATTAAATTTCATGTAAAAATATAAACATGGTAAGTATTGAGAGAGTCCCTGGTTCCCTAGGAAAGCACTGTTTTCTTTTCTTTTTTCTTTTTTTTAACAAACCAAGGTCAGAGCACTGAGACAATTGTGCTAACTAGGCAACAGGGATAATCTAATCATTTCTTTTGAAATTCAACATAAATCAACATTTCTTTTAAGTGTAAGAACCTGGCTTTTATCTTCCATATACAACCAAGGCAATCTTTGATACTTTATGTGACTCTATTCTATACAACTGTTTTTAAATTCAAGATAAAATTGGCTCTATATAAGCTAGTTCAATATTTTGAAATTTAATTGTAACTTGGATACACTTCCTCTGTGACCATGAGTAAATCATTAAAATGCTTTCTACCAATGAGAATAAAGGCATAGCAAACTATAAGTCTTACCTGAAACTGTATGCAGTGATTGTTTTGTGTTTTGTTTTCTAATTGACAGTTGATATTTATACACTAAATTATCAAACTACTATTTGTTTTTAATTAATTCCTCAACTTTGCCACTCAAGGAAAATGATATATGCTTTGTATTGTTAAGTAAATACATAATTTTATACTTATCATGTTATTATGGTTTTCAAAGAAAGTAGTTGTCCCTAGGTCACAGATTATATACACATGCATAGCAAAAAGACTTTACAAAAACAAGGAAAATATGAAAAAATAATTGCCTAGCTTGGATCAAGTTAACCCCTGGTTTAATTTAATCATCTCCTCTACTGAGGATCTGATAAGAGATTCTTAATAACAGCCCCAAATTAAGGCAATAGAATCAGGAAATCTTTTTTTTTTTTTTTTTTTGAGATGGAGTCTTGCTCTGCTGCCCAGGTTGGAGTGCAATGGCGCAATCTCGGCTCACTGCAACCTCCACCTCCTGGATTCAAGCTGTTTTCCTGCCTCAGCCTCCTGAGTAGCTGGGACTACAGGTGCCCGCCACCACGCCTGGCTAATTTTTGTATTTTTAGTAGAGACGAGGTTTCACCATGTTGGCCAGGCTGGTGTTGAATTCCTGACCTCGAGTGATCCGCCTGCCTCAGCCTCCCAAAGTGCTGGGATTACAGGTGTGAGCCACTGCGCCCGGCCAAAATCAGGAAATCTTTCCCAAAACATCCTGTATATAGCAACACTCATAACTACTACTTTATGGCAGAATAATGGACCCGATTACAGGTTCACATGGAAAAAGTTGATATTTCAGCCACGACCAAAATATAAACAGGATTTTTCATAGGGAGTAGATGGTGTGTTCATAGCGAGATAGGTGGTGTGTTCATCTCTGTGCTGAGATACTTCATCTTAACTAGTAAGAAACATAGTAATCCCTCACATTCATTAAGAGGTATGCTGTAAGAGCTTAATATGTATACACCCATTTAACCTTCATAACAACCTTTATTTTTTAGTGACTACTATTTACAGTGATTACTATTATTTTCTCCATTTTACAGACGAGGAAACTAAAGCACAGAGTGGTTAAGTAACTTACCCAAGGCCCTGCATTATGTAAATAAAGGGGCTAAAATTTGAACTAAGGTGGTCTGGCTCCAGAGTCAAAGTGTAATCACTGTGTTCTGCTTCTCATAATAACGATCACTCTTTCTGAAGCTTGTGTTCAATTTAAAACTGTATATTCCCTGAGGCTGTAGAATGTTAGAGCTGAAGTAATTTAAAATGATCTAACCCATGGCCTAAAGCTCCAGGTGGAGAGAGGATGTTTGGGAAGACTGTGTAGCCTCAAAATTTTGTGGATAGGCACACTTTTCTGGGAAAAGAAATGAGCCACTCATCTAGTCTAAATGTCTCAGTTGAGGGATTAAAAAAAATAAAGCCACAAAGCAATGGCTGTAAATGCTGCATATTTTAAGGAAGCAATATAAAAAGAACCAAGCCCAGAAACCAGGGCTGTTTTCATTATCCTGTCTACCCAAACTCTCTTAGGTGGCTCCCTTAAAGCCAGAAGAAATCTGTGTGAGGGATGCCGAGTCAGCCTGTTTCTCTACTTGGCTCCACATGACTCAGTAAAGCAAATCAATGAGACAAGATATCTACTCATGCAAGAAAAAACAGAAATCTAGTGTGATGTTTTCTTGACTATTCAATGCTAATGGAAAAAAGTTGGTAACACATTTAAGAGGTAAGAAGAAATAAAATTGTCTCTTTACAAAGTTGACTGATTTATTCATTTAGTAGATACACACACAGGTATACACACATACACACAATTTATTTATTTTAGTGGTAGCCCAGAAACTTTCTGAATTTCTTTTGTATTTCTCTTGAGTCTTTTCCTGTAATTTATATTTACTTAAAATTTATCCCTTATGTTCAAATTTTTCACATATATATATAAAGTATTCATTATAATCATTTTAATTTCCTCCATTTCTCTGGTTATTTCCCCATTGTATTTCCAATTTTGTGCATTTGTGGGATTTCTCATTTAGTAATTAAATCATGTGATATTGGTTTGTTTATTGTTCTGTTATTCTCTTTGAAAAAACCAACTCTTTGATTTATTAGTGTGTCTCTTTTTTATTTTCTAATTCCTTAACTTCTGACTTTATTTTTTTAATCAATTCCTTGTTTCTACTTTGCAGATTTGTTTTTTGTTCTTTTAACCAACTTCATGAGATGAATGGTAATACGTTTATAATTATTTTCTTTCCTGTAATAGTCATGTTTAAAGATATGGATATTCCTCCGAACACTGTTTTATCTATATCTATACATACTTATTTTCTGTAAATTCTGTAATGCCTCTTAAGCAAAAAATTAATTTTAAAAAGTTATTGGTCTTTTTTCTTATCAATTCGCAGGAGCTCTTATTTTTTGGAGATACTATTTTTGTCTGAGATACGAGTTGCCAATCAAAATGATCACTTTTTCATATCATGTAAAAACTGTTTTTTAAATTTTTATTTGCTTGATTTTTCTTATTCACAATTGTGGTAATATCAGTAGAAGTTCTTCTCCTTCCTCTCCCAGCTTTTTGCTTCCTATATGGTTTTTGGTCCCATTAGAGTTTTATTTTCTTCTTCTACTTCCTTCTTGTTCTCTCACAGACAATTTTATTTCTCCTTATTTGTCTTATCACTTATTCAATCCTGTTTATCTAGTTTTTGAACTTTCATTTTATTTTATTTTATTTTATTTATTTTATTTTTTGAGACAGAGTCTTGCTCTGTTGCCCTAGCTGGAGTGCAGTGGTACAATCTCGGCTCACTGCAACCTCCACCTCCCAGCTTCAAGTGATTCTCCTGCCTCAGTCTACCGAGTGGCTGGGATTACAGGCGCCCACCACCATGCCCGGCTAATTTTTGTATTTTTAGTAGAGAGGGGGTTTCACCATGCTGGCCAGGCTGGTCTCAAACTCCCGACCTCAGCTGATCCACCCGCCGCAGCCTCCCAAACTGCTGAGATTACAGGTGTGAGCCACACCGTACCTGGCCTTGACCTTTTATTTTAAGGAGGCCACAATGTCTTCTATTTATTTGCTAGTATGGAAAATAGATATTATTTTCTTGTATAATTCTTCTTGTGGTATATGTTTTGATCTGGTTTCTTTGTATTGCTTTTGTTTTTGTTTAAAGCTATTAGCTTTGCTTAGCTGATAGCTAAATCTGGGTCCAATGCAGGTTCCTTTCTGATTAGTTTTCATTTTTCACTGAGTTAATTCTATCAGCTGTTTGCTGCAGGAAAGAGGCTGGCACAGTAAACTGAGGACTTCAGGGAGTTTCTTTTTGGTACCATATTTCCTGTTATGTTTTACCTTTCTCACCAACTCGACCGTGCACATTGTTCAAGAGATATGGATCTGCTTAGTGTTCTCAGTGTCTTGTCTTCCCCATTTAGATTAGCGGGAGTTCCAAAGGGCTTGCACAAAGTCCTGCCTGATACATTTTCCAAGTCATGATCTAATATTTCCTTATTTCTCTTCTCCTGAAGGTGATCAACAGTGGCAAAGGCTGGTGTGGTTTATCTTCTCCACCTTGCCACCCATGCATCCTGCTTTTGGCACATGTGGCAGGCTGGTGTCATTCCTCATTCACTGCCACCTCCTCTGTTATCATCTGTTGTAGAACAAGCCTTAGCAACCCTTCTGCAGACCACCTATAGCCTCACACTTTCCTGTTGCATGTAAGTAACTGGAGCATGTGTCCATCAACTTTTGGATGTTCTACCTGCTGCCTATATTTAAAATACTCTCGACATTGTCCCTGTTCTAAATTTCGAAATATCCCATGGTTTCTGATTTGAGAGTGTACCTGCCTTCTGTAAGAAAAGGCTTTTTTATATGCATCTCATTTTCTATTTAATTGTTTGTTGCACAGCAACATATGCGACAGTGTTGCATTTAGTTTTTCATCTGTGGCCTCCTAAATGGCAAAAACAAAACTTCACTTATTAGCTCCTCTCCAATCCTTCTCTCAATCAAGTGCTTGCCCGTCCTTGTCCTTAAACCCCTGGACTAATCCCTTGTAAGGTGTCCTGTTGTAAGGTGTCAACTACAGCATTCACATTCATTGACCATTTATATTTCCCCTCATAAGCATATTTGCATTTAAATAGGAGATTTTAAAAATCTAAACTAAACTTTAGACTACCAGATGAAGTTATAAATTAAAACTTTGATTGTAGAATGACAAATAACATGGTATATGTGGAAAAGAAGTTAGAGGACCCCAATTAGTATCTGTAAAATGACCTCATGTGAGTAGCAAAGTTATGTGTGAGTTGCTTTAATCTTTAAAATTAGCTTCTGCAATGCTTCATTGTTTTCTATAATAGAAGAGTAATAGGAAAATGAGGCATTTGTTGTAAGTAAATTTTCTAGTTACCTGTTTAAGCAGTTTTCTTTTAAACTTTAAGATGAAAATCTTTACAATGAGTTCCTATTTTCTGAAACAAATAAGTGACTTGATATGGTAGAAATGTACTGGAGTGAGTAGTTCCAGATTCTTAAGTTCTTTCTGTTACTTATTATTAATAAAGTTTTGACACATCATTTAGCCCACCCAAGCCTCAGTTCTCCCATCTGTAAAACAGGAATAGCAATACTTCCTTTCTTGCAATATAAGTTTTCTGTGAGTGGAAAATGACATAATATGTGTCAAAATACTTTGTATACTAACAACTAGAAAATGATAAGAGCCTTAATAATAAAAGATAATCCAAATAAAATATTACACTACTATCAAAGATAATAGAGGCTAACAGGGAAGTTATATAAATACTTTCATGATTCTTTTGTGTGTTTTTTCCTAGTTGTTTAGCCAAGGTACTCACTTCTATTTCAGTTCTCATTGCCATCAGTGAGTCTGCCTCTAGAAAAAACACTTTCTGTTTTCCCGCCTCCTCTTCTCCAGTACATTTGTATAGTTTTTGTCTTTGTTTCTTTGGTATGTTTTCTGTGGCTTTAAATTGGCTGCAAAAGATTGCATAGGGTAATGAAAAGAGAAAGCAGCTTTGGAGTCAGACAGACCTGGTTTGAATCCTGACTGTGTTTTTGTGCTCATCACTTAACGTCCCTGAATCTGTTTCCTTATCCATAAAATGAATTTAATCACTGATACCCTGCAGGGCTATCTAATATGTGAAGTTCTTGGATTTCATCAAATCTCATTTGCCTTCTTAAAAGTATATTTTGCTTATTTCTGTGTTTTTAATTGAAGCTTTATGACATTTGACAATGGATACATTGCTGCACTCTGATCAGTAATTATTTTATTCAATGAATCATTTCACTTTTTTTCTAAATGTCACCAAAGACTCTAGCTTCCTTAAAATCTACTTTTTGTTAATTTCCTTGACTAATCTTATAGTTCCAATAGTTTCTCTGCTTCAATCAGCTTTCTTTTGTCTAAACTTCTTCTGTTTTCTCTTGTAAAATAATTTATCCTAATCTTAAATCTTTACGACAGAGACCATATCTTCTTTGGCCATAATGCATCGAATATTCTGTAAAAACCACATCACTATCAATCAATAATTATGTGTGTGTTATAAGTATGTAAATGTTATAGATCTCATAGAACTTATCCACTCTGCCTTAGCTTATTCCTAGAAGATCACAGATTACTATTATATAGCATTTGTATAACTCTTTATCATTTGTGAACCTTTCGTAATTATTTAATGGAGGTCTTCAAACTACTAGTATAGATTGATTTTGTTATTTCTATTGTTGGGAAGGGAAAACAAAGACAGAATGATGAAAACTTGTCAGATATATCCCATGTTACCAGGAAAAACAGGATTAGCACACAGTCTCTTATTCTCTGATCTGCTGATAGTCTGTTGAGCTAGTGTTTTCCTAGCATGAAAGGAAGAAACATCTATTCATTTCCAATTATTATTTTCTGGAAAAGGTATTATGGAGATGGTTCTCTTTATGTTCAAAATAAATAAAATGTCCGAGTGATTCCTGGAACTTGGGAGAAAGGGGAAGGTAAACCAAAAACTAGGGCCAGAGAGCAAGAAGGAGGTAAAGGAGATAAAATTCGTGGTGGGTGAATCCTCATCCGTCATTACATGACAGAAGTATTTAAAAAGGAAAGCTACTACCTCTCCTCATCTGAGGCTTCCTCCAGAACCCTGTAGGAGAGGAAGATACACTGCTGAGTCTTCATTTGGGGAGCAGCAGGAGAAGGCAGTGCCTCCTTAGCCAAATGAACCTTTCCTGACAGCTGTGGGGATATGTGTTTGTGCCACCAGGCCCCTTAGAAAATTATCCCTAAAATAACTAATGTTTAGTCAGTCAAAACAACAACAACAACAGAAAAATAGCAGCTTCAAAGCGAAAGTTATGTGGCGAGAGTAAATAACCCAAACTTAACGTGACCTTCCTAGCATTATTTTAGGGAGGCGTTAGGGTATAGAGAGTGAAAAACACCCTGAGGTGGGATTTACAAGTCTTAATTTCAGTTTCAGCAGTTTCACTTTCTGGCTGTGTGGTATTAGACAAGTGGCTTAACCTCTCTGGACCTCTCTGATCCTTCAGATTTAAAATGAGGGGGTTGATTACTAAGTGACGTCTAAGAGCCCTTCTAGAGATAAAAAATTCCCCAATCTATGATAATAATAATTAACATTTGATGGTCCTTTACCACCTACAAATGATTTCCACATACATTATCTAATTTGATCTTCATGCCAGTTCTGAGGTAGTATTATTATGATTATGCCCATTTTTGGAAGAGAGATTCAGAAACCACAAAATGGCAGAGTTGGCATTGAACAGATGTTCCCAAGAGGCAAATACCCCTTCAGTAAAAGAAGCAGCTGATGCTAACAAGGATAAATAAGAGCAGACAATTCAGCCTGTGAGCTCTTGTTTAGGGGTACAACAGAATTTCTGGAAGCTGCATTGGGGTAATGATAATCCACCATGTGGAATGTTATCTGATGATGTATTTATCAAAAAAAACTAATAAAAAGAAAATTAAAAAAAGATACAATAATTGTTACTGCACTACACCCTAATGAATTATTGTGTTCAAGGTTCTTACAAAAAAAAAGTAATATTATACTCGGCTTATGTTTTAATTGATTTATTAATATTTTATCACAGGAATGTAATTTAAGCTCCTCATGATTTAGATCTCATAAACCTTTAGCATTTTGCAAATTCAAATTCCAATTTAAAGCCAGGGCGAGCAATTAACTTTTCTATCATCTTGTCAGGGGAGAAGGTTCGTGTTTAATTTGAGACAAAGTGACAGAAATATATATACACTGTATGTATTACTCCAATTTAATTTATGAGTCAGCACCATCCACCTTCAAAATGTAGATTTAATAGAAGAGGAGGAAGAAAAGGCCGTGCTGTCATGATAGGGCTGTAATATCTGCCCTGAATTTCTTACATATTAAAAAAAAGTCACTGGTTTGTTGAGATACCAAGCTAGATTGATTGCAGGCCTATTTCCAGTTCTTTTGTTTCACATTCCACTTCCTGATTCTTTTCTCATACAGCACATAATCTCATGGATATCACAGGGAGTTCTTACCCCCACTTCTACCTCTACTCCTACCCCATCCTCCATTTTCATGCATAGCTGCTTCTACAGGTTTATCCTAAATCTTGACAAGTGAGATAAATGGTAAATATTGCTTTGAGATCACGTCTTCATCACCTTTCTCATCTTTCCAAAGCCACCTTCTAAGTGCTCTCTACCTAAAACAAACAAACATTAAAACTCCTCGCAATTTTATATTTTAATGTGCAGGGTGTATCTGGCACGGTAAAACACTGGCACTTTCCCGTGATCCTTTACAAAATATTTAAGGACAGGATATGAATAAATAAGCTAAAACCACAGAAGGTAGTCAGGTGAACTGTAGGGAAGTACTTCCCCTTGGTGGTTATTAAGCACTGGAACAGGGCTGCGGAGAGAGGTTAAGGAATTCTTACTAGCGCCGTTATCCTATAATTCACCAAAGGCACACAATGCTCTATGCTGATGAGATGAGTTACATGACATCTCCTCCCTGGTTCAATCAAAGGAAAGCAATTTACATCTCAAACCAGTTCTCTCATCAGTGGGACATAAAAACTGCAGAACAGAGATGCAGCAAATGTGCTTATTTATACAGAATCAACTCAGTTGCCACTGTTCTTTATTATTTTCCTTCTCTCCCACCTCCCCTGTATGGTGGCCATTTTGAATAGGATGCTTAAAATTCTAAAAGTGAGAAAAAGAACCAAGAACAATTCAGTAACAAAATTAACTAAAGATAACTTGTGCTTCTGACAATCAGTGTCCCTTGTGGTGCTAGGCCAATCCCTTTGTTCCACTTAAAAATAAAATCGGATTCCTCTTGCTGGCCACAGGAAAAGAATTAGAAGACGATTAATGGAAAATTCTGGAAGGTAGCCTTGTAAATGTTTATTCACTTTTCAGGCATACAATGTTGTGCTACATAAGTGAATACAGTGCATTTGTCAAAGAAAGGCCATGTTGAATTAGTGTGAGGTCTTCATTCATAAAACAAGCTTATTTTTACTAATAATCTCTATTAATCTCAGCTTAATTATATTAGGCATTTTTCACTTGCATACAACAGTAAAAATGGCCAAAACTGCATTTACTGCACCTGCTTAAACGCAGTTATATCCCTAAAAACGATTGCAGGGAACAAGCTCCCACAGACATGGCTTTTAGGCAGAATATGGGATTATGGCAGAGGGGTTTAAATACAGGAGGTAAAAATGGTAATCATATTCATCAACTACACAAAGAAGTAAAAACAAGAAGCTCTAGATAATTCTTTTTAGTGGACTCACTAAAATAACAATAACAGCTTGATGAAGAGAACATGATTGTCGAAAGCTTGTCCATTTTACATTTTCTCTTTACATAGTGCAATAAAAAGGAAGCACCTGCAGTTTCTACTTGTGCGTGTATTCGTGTGTGTGTGTGTGTGTGTGTGTGTGATGTTGAAAGAAATCATGGACATCATATTTGCTTTAGGAGCTACTAGTCTAATCTTAAGTGCACATTCCCTACCATAAAGTTGTATTTGAGCTCCGTGCAGTGCAGAAACATTCTTCAGCTTAGAAAGTGCAGTCTTTGCTTCACACCCTTTTCCTTCATTCAGACACATCAGCATCTTATCACTTTGGACATTAAAGTAAAAGAGACTTCTTTGTCATGAATATTTTTAGACAAATTACACCAAAATATCTTGTATTTTCCATTTTTTAGTGGAATCTACTTTACTGACATATACCAGCCCACCATAACATCACTGTTGTGATGTCCTACTACTTATCTAAAAAAAGTACTATTAACTACATATTGCAGGTATTTGAAGTATATAAGAAAACCATAAACTGAATTACATTGTATGGCTGGTATGATCTCACATGAAGTTTGAGCTATCATTATTAAAAACAGAAATTGCATTTAGTTAATGCATCTGACAGTAAGCCAGTCAACTTTCAAGGTTGTATGATGAGAAAAAAAATATTTTTTAAAAAAACAGAAAATGCCTGAAAAATTTCACAAGAGCATTTCACATGACAAGAGAATTCTTCCTCTCCCTTCTGCTGCCTGCCTGCCCACCTTTCTTCCTTCCTTCCTTCGTTCCTTCCTTTCCTCCTTCCTTCCTTCTTTCCTTCCTTTCTTCTTTCTTTTCCTCCTTCCTTCCATTCTTCCTTCCTTCCTTTCTTCCTTCCTTCTTTCCTTCCTTCCTTCTTGCCTTCCTTCCTTTCTTCTTTCCTTTTTCCTCTCTCCCTCTCTTCTCCTTCCTTTCTTCCTTCCTTCCTTCCTTCTTCCTTTTCTTTTCTCGTGCTTCTCTCCCTTAGTTTCTCTCTTCTTTCCTTCCTTCCTTCAATTTGGTGGAGGAGGTGCAAAAATTTGAGTAAGAAAATAATATTTTTGTTTCAGAATCCACATGCTTTTACTATTCATCATGCTAACTTAGGGGGAAATTTAGATAACTTCTTATGGCGTTTTTTTTTTTTTTTTTTGAGTTTATAGATATCTTTCAGGGGTCAAGCTATTTCCAAACATTCTTATAATGGCCTCCAATATTCCACACTGCAATATATAGCATGCTCTAAGCAAAGGCAGTCTTTTATAAAAGACTGCAATAGCTAGTGAAGAAATACTTTTTTTTGATTACTTTTATAAAGGCACAGAGCAAACGACAGTACAGTATGTACATAAATAAAGCAAAGGTTCAAACTGCACTTTTACAACTACAATGTCACTAATAGACCTCATCCCCTCTCTGCTATTCTATATATATAGGTTGAAATCTGAGGCTTAAAACAATGTTTGAACAACAAAACAGAATAAATGACTAACCCAATCTTTCAGGTTCCAAAAACAGTACTGGAGAGTTTTCTATTTTTATAGGTGTTTGTCACTATGGACATTCAATATCTATAATTCTGAAATTACAGCCGGGCGCGGTGGCTCACACCTGTAATCCTAGCACTTTGGGAGGCCAAGATGGGTGGATCACGACGTCAGGAGATCAAGACCATCCTGGCCAACAGGGTGAAACCCCATCTCTACTAAAATACAAAAAATTAGCCGGGCTTGTTGGCGTGTGACTGTAGTCCCAGCTACTCGGGAGGCTGAGGCAGGGGAATCGCTTGAAACCGGGAGGTGGAGGTTGCAGTGAGCCGAGATCGTGCCACTGCACTCCAGCCTGACAACAGAGCAAGACTCCGTCTCAAAAAAAAAAAAAATTCTGAAATTACAACAAAATTAGGATCTGAATATGTGTTTTACAAAATGATTTGCTATAGGCCTTCATGGGGGAGATGGCAATCCCTAGTATATCAAACACTGTGGCTTAATTTTTTTTAATCTTCACAAAACTCTTCAAGAATGGTTGTCATAATGTAAGAAGTGTCAGCATTACCAGAACAATCAGAGATTTCCATAGGCAGAATAACATTAGAGATTACGTCATTACAACAGATAGCCCTCATACTCAATGCATCTTACATGGTCAGTTAAACCAAAGGGTAGGAGGCACTATAGGATAATTGTGAGAAGAGTTGCTTTCTAAGTGGAAGAAAGGTGAAAATAAAGCACCTGCAGTGCTGTGCTTTCACTTTACTTCCTGCCCTCACAGTCATCCTGGAGATCTTACTGGTGTGCTTTAACTGTCTTGTGGCATTCTCTTTCAAAAGCATCTTCAGGGACTAAAGTTCAGGTTTTATCAGAATAGACATAGTCCTGTGCTACTTGACAGAAGGCATTTTACTCTTTTTTATGGTTTCACTAAAATCAAGAGTATCACAAAAACATCTTAAGATCTGAAACTGGGAATCGCCTCATAAGCATGTCTTCCAACCCTACAGGTTGTATAAGGCAAGTATGTGTAGATTGAATGGAACCCTCTATGTCTGGCTTTTCAGTATTGTAAAGACTTTCAAAGCTCATTAAGTACTTCTTTGCTGATACACACCAAGCTAAGTCCCACCTCAGGGCCTTTAGACCTTTTGTTACCCATGACTGGAATGCTCTTCCTCTAGGGTTTAGCATGCTTCTCTCTTTATTCTGGTTTCTCCTCAAATGTCACCTCTTCAGGAGACTTACACTGACCATCACATCTGAAATAGCTTGCCAACTTTACTCTACCTATCTCACTTTATTATTTTTCATAGTATTTATTTTTTTCCGGAAATTATGTACTGCTTATTATCTGTCTCCCCTAATAAAATTTAACTTCTTTGAACCAAATACTTTGTCTTATTCCTTAGTTTATTGCTAGTGTCCAGTACTGTGCCTAATATATGGTAGGTGCTCACTATATATTTGTCAAATAAATAATACTTAAAATTTAAAAATTTATTCTCCTTTAAGTTGTACAGTTTAAGCCTCACCTTATTTTCTGCTGATAAGAGAAGGTATCACCTACAATGACCCTTCACATTCTAGACAATTAACAAAGTCTATGTGGAAGAATAACTATTCCAGGAAGAATGTGTTCAGACCTGGTTTGAAATCACAGCCTGTTGCTGTGGGGCATTTATTACCCACCATTTAGCTAGATTACTGAATAGATGGAGTTAACCAAAATGCTGACAAGACACACACCACACACACACACACACACACAAACACACACACACACACACCCCCCAAAAACGAAACCTCAGCCCTCCAAAACTCTCCTTACTCTTGTAATTGGAGTGCATTGCCACTTTGCTCCAAGCCAAAGAACAGATAAGAAAGAGAAGCAAAAATCAGAAGAACTTTGGAAGCCATTTCACTAGAGCTGCCACCTGTCACTTACGTAAGAAGATGCAATCATCCATCTGTCCAAACTGGTGAATCATAAGGTCTTAAATACTATTTACTTTCCCCAAAATAGTGAATCCCTTGCAATTTTATATCACATAATAACAAAGGGACATGATTCTTATTTGTTTTTCCTTTAGATACACATAGAACATTTTCTTTAATGTGGCATACAACTTTAAAAATATAAACACCAATTCACTGAGGTATTTTTTTGGTAGAAAAAAGTGTCTATCATAATTTTAGTAGCAATAATAGTTCTGTACATTTCTTTTAGCAATTACAACCTCAGATTTCTAAGCACTGTGCAAACATTAATTTACTAAGTTCTGCTGTGTTCTCTTTGTGAATTAGAATATTATCATATCTTCATTATTTTTAGGTGAGAGTCACATGGCTATGACTTGCCAGGGCCACACGGTAAATAATTTTTTTTAAAGTGGTAAGATGCCTCTGTTTTGAAAGTGGATGCCCAGGGAAGATTAATAAAATAGGATAAGAACATACCTAAAATGGCATCTGTTTTTTTTTTTTTAACCTAGTGCTTCCATTCAAATTTTGTTTTGGGATATGAAGTCACCTGATAGCTCAGTTCAAAACTCGAATAAACATCCTTGAAAATAGTAGGGTTATTCTTTAAAAATAGTAGTTATCAATTATTGAGTGTGCACCTTGTGCCAGGCACAGTTCTAAGAGATCTAGTTCTAGGAGGGAAAGTGTACGAGTCCATGTGAACAAGGACTTGGTGTCTTATTCACTATTGTATGCTCCGAGCCTATAACATACCTGGATGGTAGTGAGGGTTCAGTTGGTATTTGTTGCAATAAGTGTATAAATAAGGGAAGCTTTCTTGGTTCCAGAAAACTAAACTGTCTGAATTTTGAAACACAACCTGTTTGTAAGTTGGGGGCATCATATTAAACATTTTCTTTTGGAAGCAGAGGAGAAGGGAAGAGATTTTATTTGACCCAATATATAACCAAATCTAGGATAATAGTGATCCTCTTTACAATAAAGTTCATTTATTCAACAATTATTTATTGAATACATACTATGTGCCAGGTATTGGAAGAGGTTCTAGGAATAAAGACAAGGTCCTTATTTCAGAACTTAAATTACTGTTTATGGGCATAAGAGGAAAATATCTTCATATACAATGCAATTATGAGGCAAGATTTTTCTATGAACCAGTGACTTCTGTTTGTTTTTACCATGTTACCCTCCTAATTTACTAAGGCTTCAATTACTTGGTTTTCTTCTGAGTAGCCAGGAGGACATTATAGCAAAAAGTAAGTATACTGATTAATTACAACATATATCCATAAAGTGGAGGGGATATCTGAAAATCACCTAGAGAATCTGACCAATATCTAAGAAATTAATTTAGGTCAAATGATTAGTTCTGAAATGTCTGAGTTATCTATATTAGTTATTCATATTGCCAGTTCTTAACTTGTTCTATACAAACACAATCTGAAGCTTCATCTGGGCTTCTTCAAATTGGAACCTAGTTACAACTCTTAATGGATAAGTTCAAGAATAATGCCACTACAATAAAAAAGAAATAAAGAAGGGCACAAAGTATTAGAAGATAAATTATCTAGAGATTAATAAAGTCTTTGGTAAGAGTTTGCAACTCTATCACATATGGGCTAATTGGAAATCACTGCTTCCAGGGCTAATGACCTCATTTGAGGTTACCCTGTGGGACAATAACATGGCCTACCTCTGTCCACTAAACAAATTCTGTCAAAACATAACTTACCAAAGTATAGCTTGTTGAGGGGTATACATATCTGAATTTATTTTACTCTGATAATCTGCCCGAGAGGTTCTGTTACTTGAAGGCAATATCACTTCCTTTGGGTTCACTTGTAGGACACAAAATGCAGCTTTTACAAGTATTTCTGCTTGTAAACTAATTCTTCAGCTATAGTATATAAACTTCACTCTATAAGAAAACCAAAGAGGCCAAGGGACATTAAGTTTGGTGTTTAATTGCTATCAGCAATTAAAAATTGCTAGCAGCCCACTTAACATTTTCTTCTTCCTCTAAAAATGAAACTGAAACGTATCTTTTAGCTGAGAGTTCTGTAATGCTGAGAAAACATCCTAAATACATCTTGGCAAAGGAAGAAAAGAAAAAAATGTGATATTGATGTATTTGCTTTCCTAGTATATTGAAATCAAGAACTAGATACAGGTGACAGATCTGCTTCCACCTGCTGGCTCAGTGAATTTGTAAAACTGAAATCTGTTATCTAAAAATCACTAGTACATTCAGAATTACTTAGCATTCCCTTTCTGTTTGTACATGTTCATGACAATGATAAAACAGCCCCAGGAATTCTGCTACCAATCTTCATATATATGTCCATTGACATTGTCTCCATCAAATTCAATCCAATAAAATTAAATGGAGTTAAATAAAGCAGTCTGCTTGAACCTCAGTATCTCTCATTTCTTATTGTATTGTACCTCTTATCATTTCTTATTTATTTAGCCAAGGTTAAAAAAAATGGTTTCCAGATTCAATTATAATTTCCCTCCTGGTCTCCTATTTCTTAAGTATTTTTTCCTTTTTATTTTCATATAATTACAAGGATTTTTTTTTTTGGCAATTGACATGAACAACATTATTCAAAGGAAAAAATACTTAAAGTAGCTACTATCTTATAGCAAAGAGGACATTTCCATCTATGTTTACCATAAAAATTTTCACTGGATTCCAACATTTTCATATAATACTATCTACAAATATTGCCTGCTTTGAGAAGACTCCAAATTTTAGGAGGTAGATGGGCGATAGGTAATGCATGGAGGAAGTTGGTAAAGAAGACAAATTTCTAACTATGACTTCCGGAGTTAAATTTTAAAAGAAATTGAGAAGTATACAAAAGTGTTAAGACTGAAATATATGCAATTGGCTTACAATTTCTCCAACCACTTGAGGCAAGAGGGTAACTCCAACTTTTGCCCCTTCATTGCCACACTTCTTCAATCTGCATATGGATTTTATGTTTCCCCTTTACGGCTGCCCTTAATATTAATTTTAACCTCAAATAAAATTTTTTTGGAAGGAAGAGTAATATACACATTATAATTTTCTCTGGAGTTTTCCTCCCATAAGCAACAGCCAGATGACAACCAACTTCTCATTAGTCTCTTGAAAAACGAATCAGAAATTTTCTTATGTCCTTCACACAGGATTGCCATCTATTATAAATAGTGCTGAAAGACCCCACACACAGCAAACTGAAGCATGTGGCATTTAATACATCACACAGAAGGATCAAGAATTGAGTCAACACTTCTAGGGCTTCTACCCCTCAACTATGCATTTCCATGGTACCCATTTCCATGGTTTTTAGACTTTTAAACAAACACATTTGTCTAAAAACAAATACATATGTAGGAAACATTTCTCCAGGGCTCTCGCCTTTTCAGCTGCTTTTGGTTGACAGATGAGAACCCACATACAGTATTCTGAAATTCTGCGTCTTCTTGTCTTAAGTACTAGAGAAAGAAATATTTGGTCCTAGGTGGCAGATCTTACTTATATCACTTCTATTAAACGGGCAAGATAGAGTCACAAAAAGAGGACTTATGATTTTCACCTTATAATGGATTCCTTCTTGGCTTCCTTCCACCTCCTATACATGGATTTGAACTTCATTTTGAAGACACTTACAATTATTCTGAATGAAAACTATCATTTTCATTCTCCCTCTCAAAAAAGTTTCTGAAGAAATTTGTTGCAAAGCCATGCTATCTGTAACATTACGAATATGTTAGCATATTTTTAGTGCTTCACTAGATTTCATAAATCTTACTTACCCATATCAATAACAACCAGTATAATTTGAAGGAAAAAGGAGAAATCTTGTGTCTTAAATTATATCATTTAAAATTCATGGATGAAGGTAGTATCCCTAGAAATGATCTGATTCTATGTGACTCCGGGAAAGATACTATTTCATTTCTGTTTTAGAGATTAAGAAACTAAAGTACAGATAAGTTAACTAACTTGCCTAAAGCCTTCTGGTGAATGAGATAGCCAAGATTTGAACCGTGGAGTCCAACGCCAGAGGCTTAACCATTACATTATTCTACTTCTGTGTTAAGATTAATAGAGAGGAATTAAATGCATAATTTTGGAGGCAAACAGCTTAAGTTCAAATCCCAATTTCACCAGTTACTAGCTACATGACCTTGGGCAAAGATCTTAACCACTATGAAACTTTATTTCCTCATGTATTTAAATAATAGCTGTTCTTCACTGAGTACTAAGCTATGTTCCAGTTATCGATGCTAAGTGTTTTACATGCATTATTCCATTTAATTATCATAATAACTCAACCAAGTATGTAGTGTTATCATCCCAGATTTAGAGATGAAGAAACTAAGGTTGAGTAATTTGCCTATTGTTATACAGTAAGGGGCGAAGACAGAATTCTAGTAAGGGCAATCTCACTCTAGACACCTTACTCTTAGTCATTAAATTTGGTGATAATAACCAATAGTGTCTACTTCATGGGGTTTGGGGTTGTGTTTTGGTCAGGATTAAATTAGGTAATGGAGGTGTAATGGCTAATTTTATAGGTCAACTTGACTGAGCCACAGGGTGCTCAGACATTTGGTCAAACATTATTTGGTGTACTTCAGTGAGAATGTTTCTGGATGAGATTAACATTTGAATCAGTAACTGAGTAAAGCAGATTGGCCTCCCTCATCTCCAAACAGTTGGAGGCTGGAACAGAACAAAAAGGCTGACTCTCTCACAGGTAATAGGGAATTTCTCCTGCTTGACAGCCTTTGAGCTGGAACATTCCTTTTTTTTTCCTGTCTTCAGACTCAAACTGGAAACATCAGCTCTCTGCAGGTCTCTGGCCTAAGGAAGTTCAGACTAGGACTATACCATTAGCTTTCCCAGGTCTCAAGCCTTTGGACTAATACGTTGGACTAACGCAATTGGCTCTCTGGGGTCTCTAGCTTTCTGACTATAGATCTTGGGACTTGTGAGCTTCCACAGTCATGTGAGTCAATTCCTTATAAAACATCTCTTCTATACAGGTATACATTTTATTAGTTCCAATTCTCTGGAAACATAGTACATAGTTTCTGACACCCAGAAATAGTTAATGAATGTTTCTTAAACTGCTTTCCCAAGAAAAGCCAACAGAAAAGGAATTATAGGATGAAAAAGCCCCCTTCAGTAAGAGCAAAGATAGGTCCAGATGAGGAGGATAATGTTCTGTGGGCACTCGGCTCTTAAGAGAGGAGCAGGGGTAGGGGCAAATTTTAAAACACGATCTGCAGCTAGGTCAGATGATAAGCTTGTTTATGAAATAAGAGATGGCAGGAAAACCAGGTTGATCCAGATATCAAGAAGAAAAGCCACTTTCATCTTCCACTACCCTAACTGGAAGGGAATCTTGGTTCCTTACCATGATAGCAAGCTGACTAGAAATATAGATGTGATCTTTCCCTTTGAAAAGTAACAGGTTACAGGGAAAGTGAAGGAATTTATAGAAAAGGTCAAGTTTGTTTAGTGCCTTACTGTGTACTACTTCAACCAATTCAGCTCTATCACCCAGGTTGGAGTGCACTGGCACAATCTCGTCTCATTGCAACCTCCACCTCCCAGATTCCAGCGATTCTCATGACTCAGCCTCCTGAGTAGCCAGGGTTACAGACGCACCCCACCACGCCCGGCTAACTTGGTATTTTCAGTAGAGATGGGATCTCACCATGTTGGCCAGGCTGGTCTCAAACTCCTGGCCTCAAGTGATCCACCTGCCTCCACCTCTCAAAGTGCTGAGATTACAGGAGTGAGCCACCGCACCTGCCCCAATCCAACTCTTACATACATACTTTGTTTCCAGCTATAAACCATAGGGGCATAAAAAGACTTCTCTATGGAACAGGTTAGGTCCCTGAAGTTTTCAGGTCTAAACATGCTGGAGATGGCAATTAAAGCTTTCTAATATATGCGAGTTACATTAATATCTTTGAAATACCCATTCAATTACCCCAGCTCAACACCTGTTAGACACCCTCTCTGTCAAATCTCTTCTGAATAACTTTGTTTAGTTAGATTTGGGGCCAGTATCGTAACTTCACGTAGTCTGTACAGGAAGAAAATAAGTAAGCTTTACTCTGGATCTCAGGGAACATGTGTTTCTCCCATCATCTAAGCTAAAAAACAAGGAAGCTGCAACAGCTGGGACAAGAAGGAAAAGCCAATTTGATTTTTAAAGAAAATAGAAAATAAAAGCAATTTGTCCAATTCCAATGTGTGGTATCTATGCTGATTTTTCTCAAGGAAAAGTGCTTATCATTGCCAAAATCCCCAAAGTAACCACAGCTGACAAACTTCTCAGCATCAGAGCACTTGGCAACTGACAATAAGACCTGCTCCTTCCCCAAGCGGATAAAAAGCCAGGAACTCCCCAAACAAAACCAACAGCTTTTCTGTACTCTTAGTCTGCCTTCATGTCTTTTGAGCACAGTATATTGTCCTGTGTAACTGGAGGTTCATGTAGCACACTGATTTTACCCAAAGCATCAAAACTAATATAATTAATTTATATAATCTTCTAGTTACACTGACTATAGAACTTACCTTCACTACCTACCCAAATGTCTGCTGCTGATATATACATATGATTGCACAAATTCTAAAGAGTACTCTCAATAAACAGAAATGTAAGTCTGCTAAAAATGCTTAAATATACAAAGAAATGCAAATATAAGCTCTCTACCATACATAGGATCTTTGTTTATACCAGTTGCACATGATCAATGGAAAAGGACATTCAAAACACTTTTGAATAAACAAATTATTATCTTGCATTAGCTTGTATCAATAGAATCCTTCCAAGTATTTTTTGTTCATAATAAAAATGTGTATAGGTTGGTTTGATTATTTTTTACTCTTATCATGGCAACTCAATATAACAATACTGTGCAGGTGGAAGAGGGAAGAGGGGAAAGGAGAGAAGCTGCAAATAACCAATTTAATTACCCTAACAGTCATTTTTTTTTGCAGGAAAAAGGTTCCATATGATAAGAATGTTTGTTCTGATCAAATATCTTTGCTCCATAAAGACCTTATGAATCTTCCTTCAATGTGAAGCTAAGCTATTTCTGAGGAGCTACTGGAACCTCCTCATTTTTTCTAGAGGTATCCATGTTCTAAAAATCTCAAATGATCTCAACTTAGGAGGTTACTGAAGCTACATAAATGTCAAAAGAAATGATAGATTTACACTTCTCCAATTTCTGCATTTGTTATGTAGCATAAATTCATGACAGAAAAAAAATGATCCTCAAAACTCCTTAGAAGCTCGCTCAAAATCTTGTTTTAAGTCTACTCAAACCAAACCAAGTTCTGCTAATGTAAACCCTTAAGATTTGTGGTAGTTTTTCATTCCCAATATTAAAATAGTCTTTTATTAATTCTCCATCACATCATATTTTCCCTTGACTACTAAATCAGGTCCACATTTGTTGCTTCTATGTTTTTGACATCATGGAAGAATCTGGAGCAGTGGTACATTTTGCTCTTCAGAGATATTTTATTGGTTTAAAATGTTTGATTACTAAGGGGTTTAATCTAGTAATACTAGATTAAGTACTGTCTACCATAGGAAAAAATTCATCAGACTTAAGGTGTTTCCTCTTAAGTGGAAGTAGAAAGCCAAATTTCAAAGCCTACCGTGTTAATAACAAATGCTTCCTTTTATATTTTCATCAAAAAACAAGCCTATTTCCTTATCTAAGTTCTGTGCAAGTCTTTCTGATTTTCTCACAATAAACTATATGTGTGAAATCCCATCAGTGTTATCACCAATATTTATTCCTGATGGCCACAGCTTTTCTAATCTTTGTGTAGCCATATGCTTAATGTTACATAACCCACTTGGAATTCCTTTCTTACAAACAAATAGCAAAAATGTAAGTTTATGAAGTATGCATTCCTTTTTTAATGCCAAAAATAAAAACAAAGGAAAATTTCTAAATTGGACATGTGATAATACATAAAATCTATCTGATAAAAAGTGTGTAATTACTGTCACAAAATCTTCACACAATCCTTGAAATCTCAGCAGTAGGGTGGCACCAAGTTCCCACACATCAATTAAAGCATGTACATATACGTCATTGGCAATAGGTCAGTCTCACAGAGAATAATCTCATGATGCCAAAGCTATCCTACCTGAACTTTAATTCCTGAATAACAATGTTGGCTAATAGTGTTTTACTGGATATTGTCTTACTTGCTAACATTTCTTATGGGGATCTTGATTAATTGGCTACCTAATCCCCAAAGATTATTCCAGAAAATAATAATGTCTGAAAAGTAGAGGTCTTTTCTTTCACCTATGCACAAATTTGTCATAGTTAATATGAAATTACTTTGTTCATCTGACCCCTATCAAGTAAAAACACATGAATTAAGATCAGCATGTAGGTGAAATGCACAAGAAATTAGGGCCATCTTGAGAGGACTGTCATCTAGTATGAATCACATACTGGTTGACCATTCTCCCTCCAATCCCATATTTTTATGGGGTTATACTTAATACGAAGAACAAGTGATTAATGGAGCATTAATCACAGAAGTCTACTGACTAAAAAGGACTGAAAATTCTGAGCCTTGCTTCAGTGGTGATGGTGGTGGGAATGTGGGAACAAAGTTGCTGCACAGGTAATCCCTAGTTTTGATCCAAAGAAATAGCAGCCAAGCAGAAACAGACAGACAGACACACGCACACACCCCTCAATATATATTAAAAAGTCAAATTTCATTCAGTTTCTCAAGAAAATACCAAGAAGAATAAGACAGAAAATCTCTGTTCTTAGTCTTGGCCACTTTATTCTCCACATGGACAACCACTTTGCATCAAAAGTCTCTCTCTACCCTTACTTTCACCTCTAAGTCTTTTCTCCATCCCTTCTATCCCTTATGGGTACTTTTCTTTCCTCCCTCCTCATTTTTCCTGTCTCTAGCCCCTTCCTTTTACCCAAGTGAAATTTTGTCACTTTTGAGTTCCCCTCCCCTATGATCACTTTTCCAGTTCTATTTTTCATTCCCCCAATTCCACACTACCCAAGTTTTGACACCTAGCTGGCATGAAGAGAGTTCTTAGAAGAAATGGAAGAGAATGAGAAGAAGAAGTCTTTTCTGTGATACAAGAAAGGAGAAGGCCATGACTACTGACATGAAATTAACCTTGTCCCAACCACATACACGTACACCTCAAAGCTTTGTAAACCACTGGCAAATACCCTCTTATTATCTCCCCTGCCCCATCTCCCCTTTCTTTTAATTTTTTGGTTAGTTACCAATCACAGGAGTTAACTTCCTACATAGAGGGTAGACAAATCAGGGCAATCTATGATCTCTTTAGGTCCATGGATAGATGTTCACCCCCAAATGCAGAGCTCTGCTAAATACATCTTTCAGTATCTCTGCCTTCTTAGATACTCTAAGCTATAACTCTACTTTAGTTTTAGGGTCCTTTTTGCCTTTTTCTGGCCAGAACATATTGCTTTTATATGTCTTCCTTTTCATCTTCCCAAATGCCCTAATACCAGCTTAGGCTAAATGTGCTACTGGTATAAAATGTATCTTTCTCCTTAAAAAACACCAATTATTCTCAACCTCTGGGATCCAAAGCATCCGGAATAGGGGCCCTCTTCAATAATAATCAGTGAGTGAGTGATCTTAAAAGATATGTGGTTTAGGAAGATGAAGTTAAGTATTTAAGGTCACAAATCAAGTGTGGAGTGGGGCTGCAACCCAGATCCAGATGTTCTTTCTGACATGATCTCTCATTGTCTTTTTTCTTGTATTAATCAGTTGCTAAGTCTTATTATTTCTTCTTCATAAAAAAGCTAATGATCATCTTATTGCAACACCACACTCTCTATACCACAACTATATATACTTATTTTGGAAAGCTAAGATTATTCAAGTAAGACTAAACAACACATAGGACCTTCAAAATATGCTCCTAATCTTCCCTTCTTGTCTTCGTTTCTGTCTCCTGGTCCCAGTTCCTCCCAACTTTATGTATGCATGAGTCTTTTCATGATCTTCTCTCTGCCTAGAGTTTACTTTCACTTCCCGCCAGGAAAAAAAGAATAAGTACCCTTTTTAAATAAGCAAACTCAAATATTATTTGCTCCATAAAGCCTTCCCAATATCTATTCCATGAGCCTTTCCCAACATCTCCACTTTCCTACTAACAGATCATATATCCTGTTGCTTTAAAATTCCTACTGCTTTCAAATTCTTTCTTCTTGCTAGATTGTGACATGCTTACTGGCAGAATCCATGCTAGATACTGGGAACACAAGGATTAAAACCACAACCCTTGTACTCAAGAGGTTTCCAGTACACTAGTAAGTCAAAAATATAAACAACTACGGCACAGGTCTGATGTAGAAAACATATTTCTATTTAATTGACTTGAATTATAGTTGCACACATTTTGTGTTGTAACCAAGATTATGTTACATATGATAATTTAAGTAGCCAAAAGTTGACTCAGGTTGAGTAGAGAAGTAAAAGCACATAAGAAAGAGAACAGGAAGAAATAAAACTGTAAAGATGTAATGGGAGAGAAAATACTGAGTTAACTGAAGTAATGGCTTAATGCAGAAATAAGACGTTTGGGGAAAGGAAGTTGAATTAGTTGAAGACATTTTTGGTAACAAGAGTCATGAAGCCTACAGTTGCCAGAAATAAAAAAAAAAAAGGACTGACTATGGAGTATTTATTAAATACTCATACTCACTGTTTGAAGTACAAACTAAGAGGAATCAGAGGATCAAAGTGGTTGGTTATGACTTGCTCAGCTAGTAACTGCAAGTGCCAAAATTCAAACTGTGGAATATTTCAAAGTCCGCCCTTTCTAAATTCAATTTTGGCCTAAATCCAAGGAGGTAGTGTCCACAGAATTAGCTAGAAATTACTTATTTCCTAAAAGATCAAAGTCCCAAAGAACTCTGTATGATTTCAAGGCTGCTCATATGGTAATAATGGATACATTTCACTTCATAGTCTAATCAACTAATAGACTTTAGGACAGTGAATATGAATGACATGAAGGTGCCTTGAGAACCATCAAGTCCTACCTCTTATTTTGAGACTAATTGAAGATACTGAGGCCCAGTAATTGAATCATATAGATTGCTAAAAGAAGTTCTGAGAAGAAATGAAATACAAAAGCTTGGTTTCTAAGGCTGAATATCATGAGAAACTATCATGTTATCCTGTGTGAGTGAGCTCCACGAGGCCAGGTATCTTGTCTCTTTTATGGTCAACTGTATCTCCAGTATCTAGGAGAGTTTATGGTACTATAACTAGCACATAGTGAGCACTTAAAAAAAATCAGGTGCTCAAATAACACGGTTTAGTGAAGGAATTAACGGGTTCATATATGTGAATGTGTGTAAAGTGGGTGCAAGCATGTAATTAAATGGAAAACTGGTCATATTTAGTTAGATGTTACTAAATTTATTTTTATTTGCCATTTGGATCACATGATTTTCTCCTTTAAACATCCCAGTGACATTATAAATGTCTTATGTAGCAAGGTCTTTGGCTTCAAATGCCTTCACCAGGAATTAAGAGTTTAGTACACCATCAATGAATAGAATTTACAAAGTACCCTTTGGGCAGAATCATTAAGGAATTAAGGAAAGTTTTTTAACATATTGAGAAATAACACAAAAGGTTCTGAAAATAAAGGATAATATGAATATTTCATCTTTGTCTTAGTTTTGGGGGGTGGGGAACACAGAAGCAATATTTCATTTCTAAAACCATGTTCCCATGAAGCTGAGCAGAAGGACTGCTTATAACATAATTTTCCAGCCAAATTCCCAAAGGGCCCCCAACAGGCTTTCTCAATTTGTGGGCGCTGTCCTCTAACAATCTATTTCTTTCCAGACTCTCCTTGGAAACCAAAGATTTATGTCATTCTCTTCATATTTTAAAATGAAATTGTTCCAGGTTAAAGAAATTATGAAAACTGAAAGCCTGTCTTTATCCAAGAACCAACACTGCCTGGACAAATAACTTATGAATACATCCTATTCTGGAGGTATCATCAATGACTTTGCCTCTGTAGCACTCTTACCATTATTTGGACATTTCCAGAAATCAAGATCCACTTCAGTTTGTGAAGATGAGCTGTGCTTAGACATAGGCTTAAAAAGAAAAGGTAAATAAATATTCTGTCAGGTTATATAGAGGGAAGCAGACCCTCCCTTTTATAAATAACGTATACATTTGCTTAAACTCCAGAGTAAAGGAAAAATCTCATGGACTGAAAACATTTTTTAAAAAAATGAATATTCACTAAACAATCCTGAAATGCTTTTTGCTCTCTGAATACATTCAAACAAGTAGATATCACAGCATTTCATTGATAGCTTATCAAACCACAGAATAGAACAGGAGGACAGAATACAAAGGGCATTCTTAAGGGAGCACCATCATGATTGTTCTGTAAAAACATATGAACATATTGCTATAAACTCATCTTCACAGGAAGTCACACAGCTTAATAAGCACAGACCTGCAAGTTAATATTAAAATTCACTTTGATTTCAGCAGCAGCAAAGCTGATCCAACTAGGAGCTATTACATAAAACCCTTATTGTCATATTCGTCATCACCACTCTCAATAGAGACCACTGCCAGCACCAAGAAGCCAGCCCTCAGTTCACCTCAGGAAACAGGCTACACAGACGGCCGTCCCAGTAACAATGCAGCAGTGAGATGGCCCTGTTTATTTTATCAGAATGGCACTCCCTTAATTTTTCAGTTCTCTTTATTGATGTCCTTTTTCATGTACAGGTCTATTAGATTCTACTTCCTTTACTGTCCTCCCAGGAATTGGTGCTTGCCAACTACAATAAGTTGTTTTGACAACTTGTCTAGCTATACAATACTCTGTTTCCTTCCCTCTACAGTCTTTTTGGCTTCAAATGAGTGCCTTCAAAATATAGCAGAGACTATCCAACCAAACTATGCTACAGGGGGGAGGAGCTTTCTATGTGTAAGCAATGTCCTGCCCAAACTACAATCTTTCATGTGCTCATAGTCCTCTTTCTTTTCCTATTTATTTTTATGGATAAATCCCCCTTGCTATCTTGTCTACTCCTATCTTAATAAGGAATGACTGCCGTGACTACCCCCATCTAGCTATGCCATTCACCGCCAGCACCTCTGCTCTCCTCGTGTGCTTCAAGAAGAACTGATTAGCACTTTGCATAATTAACCTGATTAGCACTGTGCATAATCAAACTGATTAGCACTTTGCATAATTAAAAAGAAATAATAATAATAACAATAATAAGCACTAAGTAATATCAAAAGCTGTTAGTCCCACAGCCCTTTGGTTACCTCCAAGATTAGTTCAGTGCAGCATATTTTGCACCTTCACATTGAAATCTTTTCTTTAACTCAAAAGTCAAGAAAATAAATTAAAATGCTTGCAATCCACAGACTCGTTATGGTTTTCATATCCATACCAGTTACCAAAATAATCAGTTTCTTACCCATACACATCTCCCTCAGTTTGGGTCTTACATATTTTACCCATGTTAAAATGGAGAAAATGGGGATATAAAACCAAGTGAATGAAAAATATTTAGAATAACATTAGAAAACAAGATATATGATGCGTATAGAAGCATAGAGAGAGTTATATAGAACTATATAACCCTCCCTTGTGTTGCTTCTGGGTGACAATGAGGCATGTGGAAAGAACTGGACAACCTATCAGAAAAACCTGGCTATGACATTTCCTGGCTAAGTGATTTAACTTTTTGGAACCTCAGTTCCCTCATCTGCAAAATTAAAATAATAACACCAGTTCTGCTACCTCAATAACTGTAATTAAAATAATAATTTAGGAAGGTGCTTTGTGAACTGCAAGACACTTTACGTACATGAGGTATTCCATTCTAGGTCCCTAAATCTCCTATCCCCCAAATTTTATTTCACACCATGGACAATATTATACATTATGAATAATAAATTTTAGGCTCAGTGCAGTGGCTCACACCTGTAACCCCAGCACTTTGGGAGGCCAAGGCAGGAAGATCACTTGAGGCCAGGAGTTCAAGACCAGCCTGGGCAAAACAGCAAGATCCCCATCTCTACAAAATTTTTTTTAAAATTAGCGGGGTATGGTGGCATGCACCTGTAGTTTGTTTTTTTTTTTTTTAATTTTTTATTCTCATAGGTTATTGGGGAACAGGTGGTGTTTGGTTACATGAGTAAGTTCTTTAGTGGTGATTTGTGAGATTTTGGTGCACTCATCACTTGAGCAGTATACACTGCACACAATTTGTAGTCTTTTATCCCTCACACCCTTTCCCCCTGGTCCCTAAAGTCCATTGTGTCATTCTTATGCCTTTGCATCCTCATACTCAGCAGGCTGAGGCAGAAGGATCGCTTGAGCCCAACAGTTCAAGGCTGCAGTAAGCTAAGAAGGTGCCACTACACTCCTGTCTGGGCAACAGAGCAAGACCCCATCTCTAAAAAAATAAGATAAAATAAAAATTTATATTTATAATGCCTTAAAATTAAAAAGTTATAAAGTCCTGTTGCATGCTTTGCCTTATTTCTTATTCAGGGCTGAATGTGACTAAAATTTTGACTTGGAGTTAAAACTGGACTCTAGTAATTATTGTTTCCATCACAGCTCTCATTTGTGTTTCTGTGGAGGTTAAAATCAAGCTGTTGCTGGAAATTCACAAGAGAGGAGAAGAAAATCTAGTACATTACTATTAATTTGGGACTACAACATAAGAGAATTCTGCAACTCTGCTTTTCTCCACCCTACCATAGCCAACCATCTGTTCCTTACCAACTTCGAGGCTTAGTTCAGTTCCACTTTCCTCCAAGAAACCACCTATGATACCCATAGATTGGAAATTCTCTCTTTCTCTCTAATGCTTCCATAATATTTTATCTCATGCTTCCATAGTACAGTGTACTATTTATTAAATATGTGTATATCTATCTGATACCTTTAGTAGATTAGCTGCTCCTAAACAGAACTATGCTGCCTATTCATTTTTGCCCCAGAAATAGCTGCCACAATAAATAATGTAGTGGTGAACACTCAACACCTTTGTTACAGTTGGCTTAAGGAAACTGGATGGTAAACTATTTTTTTCACTAGGCATTTACTATATAATTGCTAAATGCAAGCCTGAGAAATTGTTTCAATAACTATATGCTAGAGAATACAAAGGTGTTTGACATACCCATAACTACTTAATCAACCATTAAAACCAACCATTCATTTATTAAAAAATAGATAGAAGTGCTAGTAAATACTAGGCATTGTGCTAAACACTGAATACAGCATTGATAAAGTTTAAAAGGAACTGTTGGTTCCTCTCAAGGAGCTTATAGTCTAGGTCTCTATTAAGAAGTTCATATTAGAGAGGCTGGAGTGGAGTAGTGTGGAAAGGAAACCTTAAAATAGCAAGATACACATCATGGAGCCACTAAGCCTCTATCAACCTACGGGAAAGGAACCCAAATAAGCAGTCAGTGTTCTTGGGCAAATCATTCATTTTACAATTCATTTAATTCAAGAAGGAAAATGCTGCTGTGGAGATTATTCAAGTCCAAATGTTCCTGGTGAAGGTGCTTCCAGTAATTCTGGGAAAGAAGCCAATCCCTTAGTTTTATATGTAAATATTTTTAAAACACACACATATATATAAGCACAAAAGAAAGGTCAGGAAGACGTAAGTCTTTTAAAAATCTATTTTAATAATTTTTTCTATAACTGTCCACAAAAGTTTGGGCTTTTTTTGTAGCCTTACATTTTCTTTTACACAATACACCTGCTTTTTTTTCTAAACTAAATATTTCTTCCATCTAATGACTCTCTTTATTAGACAGCATCTAATTTGCATACATTTACATACAATTTAACTGCTAGCTTGTGAGAACAAAGAAATGGCTCTGTATTGTACTGAAGGACAATACTCAGTAAAGGAAGGTATAAAAACCAACCAGCTTGGTGACTGTGTAAGCTCTTTGTTTCAGATATACCAGGCTCCCTCTTTCTCTTTTAACATACCATTTAAAAGGGGCAAAAATTATTTCATCAAACAATGAAAAAAAGAAACAGCCCTACTTTGTTTAACTGTCCATTTCCTCTCCAGTTTGGTTACTACAATTCAGGGGTCCAAGTTCCCTGAATCTACTACAATTTCCTCTATTATATTTGATAGATTTAATCCCTTTATCTATTTTTGTTTCGTGTCTCATTCCTAAAACAACCTGGGATTCCACTGCGATAAAGCTCTGTTCTGATGCTAATTTGTGCTGCCATCGGCCTTGTTCCCAAGCAGACAGGGTAGAATATGGCATCATGCTCTCCAGTGAACAATGCATACACTTACCCTTAACAGGTTAATAGATTTTATTGAGACTTTGGGTCTTTATCATATGAACCAGCTCTTCAAAAAGAAATGGTTTTCAGCATCTACTGGAGAGATGATGGAAAAGAAGACTTGAATATAGGGAGGGAAATGGTAAAATAGATGTTAGGGGTAAAAGAGTACTTGAGTCAAATGTTTCTCCACTCAGCAATGCTATCCCTTTGTAAGTCTCCAAACCTGCATGACTCTTGGAGAATTAAAAAAAAAAAAAAAAAAAAGAACTGAAAACCAGGGACCCTTGACTCTCCTTTGAAAGTAAATTCACATACTCTGTGATACGGGGTGAGTCACTATGACTCTTCTCTCTGTAGCTCTCATCCTTGACACATGGAAAAGGAGATTATGTAAAGCAATCTTGAAGAGGTTTGTTCAGTGTTTTGTAAATATTAACAATTATTGAAAACACACAAAATAACTAATAAAGCTGCGGTCACAACCAACTGAAAATAAACACTAGGCTCATTCAAGTTTCTGAAATGCCATGTCTAAAATAACACACAAAAAAGAAATATGGTACACAAAAATGCTTCAAGATTATAACAAGCTATACAAATGTAAAGCAGGACATAAGGGCAAACTGAAAATTATAAAGCCAGGTACGAATTGGCACCAAAGCCTCGATGGAATTATCATCCGTATCTGGGTGCTGCAAATGGTCATGGGAGATGCATTTCCTTGGACATATATTTAACATTATTAATTTGGCCTGTTTTCTGCATCTGATAATGCAAATTTACAATTTTAGTGACCCAAAGAAGTGTGAACTTGTCAGTGATAAGTGAAGAAATTCTACCACTCTGTGGGGCTGCAGAATGCCCACATAATTTGGAACCTTTAGCAGCCAAACAGATTGCACAATCTCAACTAGCGATCTTGAAGCATGTCTGATTTTCCACCTGGTGAGAAGAAGCCTGAGTTATGGGGACTGTATGAGTGCTGGAGTGCTGGCATAAACCAACTCTGCCAACTTCTTAACCCATAAACAATTATGAATAATGATCCAAACAGCATTTAAAAGAAATAATTAGACACTGCACTTTAAAAAAAAACCCTCAGTAGTGACTAAAATCTAGTCACTGGAATGAGTAGTCAGGAAGTTGTTGATCCTCCGAAAACCACGGCTTAGTTCTAAAAACAGCCTTAAATTGCAGAGAACCTGACCCTGACCTTCAAATCCCTTGCTCCATGAGGAAATGAGACTACCGCCTCCTGAGTGCTATAGTGTCTGTTCTTTCAGAGATTGTCAGTAAGTTTTACAATACAATTCCTGTTTCTGAGGCTCATTAGATCTTCCTTATTTATACGGATTTGAGGCAGTACTTGCTTTTGTGTGATAGAATTATCTGTTGGTATCCGACGTCAGACCTATTTTCTACACTCTAACATATTAAATTCTGCCTTGTTTGTTTCTAAAGCACCTCTTAATACCAACTCAGCCAACATCACCTGTGCTGGAGGTGGTTAAGATCCACCTCCCCAATGCATGTTACCACGGTGACAAAGTAGTGACCTAATTTACACACACCTGCTGGGTTAATTGGGCCAAAATGAAAGATGATATATATGCTCAAAATCCAAAACTGATTTTTTTCCTCAAAATTAAATATTTGATTTTTTAAAAATTAGCAGTTTCTAAAGCTAAGTAACATACTCCAGGTGTGCATTTGCCAGTTAATGTACCCTGAATGTTTCATGACACTTGAGGAGCAAAATATATTGAGTGATGAATACAAATCTTTTATGTATTTTCTGTGTGCAATGATTAGTATGAGTAAGTGGTCTCGATCACTGAATACATGGGGTGTGCTTGAAGGGTCAGGCCACTGCCTTAAAGCAAACAGAGACATCTCAACTGTGCCAAGTTAGCACGCAGAGTCCGGGCCGCCTTTGAAAGTGCAAGTTTGCTTTGGAGAAAGCTGTTCTCCATAGCCTGAGGCTGCCTGCAACATCTCTTAGACAAAAACATCACTTACCTCTGCTTGACCTCTTCCCACCTCTTTGTATTCATTCTTCCCAGACCACTGAGAGTTTTTCTTTGAACCATATTAAGTTTTATGCCAAGAACTGATGAGGATATGAACAAATAGATACTTTCAGAGACTGCTGGGACAGACACAGCAATGTGTAAATGGTATAGCTAAATGTATCAAAACCCTTAAAATACATATATCTTTGATTCAATTATTACACTTAAGTATTTACCTGATGACATAATCAGGGATGTTTATAAAAAAGATTGTCACAATAATATTCATTGTAATTCATGTTTACTGGAGAAAAATTGGAAGCAACTTACATGTCCAAAAATTAGAGATCAGCTAGGTAAATTATAACACATCCATTGTATGGAATACTATATAATCAATTAAAAAAATCATGTCACAAAAAATATTGACAGAAACAAATATTCATAATATATTGCTAGTTGAAAAATCAGAATCATAACCTTGCATAATCCTATGTTGTTGCATGCACACATACATATACACACCAAAATATTAAGAATAACTTTTTCTTTAAGTGGTAATAGTAATATCAATGGTGATTTTCTTGTCTTCTTTCTGTCTTTTTGTGTTTTCCAAATAGTTTTACACTGATAGCGTACTACTTTTAGAAAGGAAATATAAATATGATATTAAAAATAAAATGAAGAGTAGGAAAAAAGTTAAATGACATTTCCTAATCCCTCTCTCCTACTTAGATTTCACATTTCACCTATATTTACTTCTCTCCTTGTCAACTACAGATGTAAATATAATAGATGTTAAACTGGTCAATGTTCTTTTATTACTGAATATTCAACTTTTCTAGCTGAATGGATCTTTCACTTATTTACAAATCTTACAAAGATGTCAGTCAGCACAACTCTTAGAAAGAGTCTCCAATCTGCTTTTTATGCTTACAAAAACCATGTGAAATAATTGCCTTTTAATAACAATGATTACTTGAAGTGAACTTTTCAAGGTACAAATAAATCTATTTATCACCAAGCTATTGTGTCCCGCTTAAATTACAACTTTCACATTTTGATTTCATTTGTACAGATATAGGGTCTTACTGATAAGTAAGTGCTTTTGTTAAGTAAATAAAATTAGTATTACCATATGAACTGGATTTGCTGTTAAAAGTATCTCACTAGGGGTTTGATTTATTCTATGATGGTTTCACTGATTTAATCATTGCTTAAATTAGCAAAATATAATTATATATTTTTATAAAGAAGATGTTTTCTTGGGATTTTCCTATGTCACCAAGAATAGACATCAGGGATTGATAAGTAATAAGAAATGTCAATTTTAAAATTACATTTCTTGGTCTAATATGCTTTCTTTTTACCTTAGTGATGATCGCTGCCTTCCTAAAAAGTTCATAAAGCTTCAGAAAAATCTAAAATTCATGAAATTTCAAAGAATTAAAAAAATTGGTGCTTTTATTTCAAGTGATAAAATTAAACTTTATTTTCATTCTCAAAAATAAGTTTTGGTTGAATCAAAGATGTAAATATTAAGAGACTAAATCATAAATGTGCTAGAAGAAAATCTGAGTAATTTTTCTGGTGTAAGAAGTTTTCTAAGCCATAAAGGAAATTATTGAAAAAATGAAACTACATAAAAAATTTTTCTACATATACAAAACTCAAAAAGCAAATTAATAACCAAGAAATATGTCTAACACATACTACAGAAAATTTATTTTCCATAATATACAAAGAGGCTATACAAACCAATAAAATATTTTTAAAAACTCAATAGAAAAATACAGAAAAGTATTATAGCCAATTCACAAAAAAGTAAACAAAAATGTAAATGGCCAGTGAAATTTTAATATGTTGTTTAATCTAACTCCTGAGTAAAGAAATGTAAATCAAAACAATGGTGAAATATCATTTTCACTTTTCTGATTAGGAAAAATTTGCTAAAGCCCAGTACTGATGAGGCTGTGAGAAAGCAGGAATTCTCATATAATGTTGTTACATGTGTGTGTCAGAAAAATGTTTTTGAAGGAAAATTTTTAACAGGCATCAAAATTTTAATTATATAAACATATCTAAGAAAGTATGCTATGTGGATATTAAAATAAAAACAAGGATATATTTAGAAAGCTGTTTTGTAATATTTTTAAACAGCGAAGAAACTGTAAATAACCAAATTTCCATAAATAGGCAGTGGTTAAATACATTTTGTGACATCCATAAAATGGAAATATTAAGTAGCTGTTTAAAAAGAGGAAAAGGTAAAATATAATATACCAAAATATAAACACTATAAAATTTCTAGAATATATAAAATCTCTAAGACATGGCATTAAGAAAAAAGTACAAATGTATTTGAACAGTATGATTCCCTTTCTGTTTTTAAATTAAAGGTATATAGACACATTTCTCTACGCAAGTACAGTTGAAACTTTTTATCTCTGGTGAATAGTGCTATCAGTCGGTAAAGACATACTTTTCACTTTATATCCTTGTGTACCATTCAAATTTTTTAACCCTGTGAGCACATTTTAAAAATACAAATAGCAGAAAGATTGTTCAGTGTAATGGTAAATGGTGAAAGGTATATACATGGAAGTAAAGAGTACTGCACTGTTAAATTTCTCATTCTAGACTTCTCTAGTCCCACAGTAAATCATTCAACTTCACTGGGATTTCATTTCCTCATTTGTAAAATAATAATTAAATTAGCTCAAAGAATAATCTGTAAGTTACCTTATAGTTCTAACAGTACATATTTTCATGTGTTAATAATCCAATACAGAATGGTGGAAAAATATGTTTGAGACTTAAATATCAATTTTGAGCACCTGTACCTACTACAATAAACAAATCTCTACTTGGTATTTTGTATGTAGACTGTAGCCATGTCTTTATGACAAAAACAAACAATAAATGTACTGAAAATTTTGGCTCATTGAATAAACTAAATATTATCTTAAAGACCATCCCCATGCACAAGTACCTCTGGGTCTCAATGGTTTAGTTCTGCCAAGGTGTTGAAACAAGACTATCAAACAAAACTGATCAGAAATGTATTACTTACATACTTCACTGCCAACTTAAAGCCACAACCACGAAGCTGACTTGTTGAATCTAACCTTGATTAATGCTCTCATATATACAAAATAATGTCAAAATATCAACATTCATTTATAATTCAGGTATATATTGCCACAAGCACTCTTAATATGTTTTTGATATTGGATAACCTGATAGTGCATGCTCACAAGTTAAAATAGTAATATCCATCTTGTTTTTAATTTGTGGTACTTGAGGCTTCAGTATAATAATGGCCTTCTTCCATTGTGACTTAATATTCCTATCATTTGGTTATATATTTTTAAAGCAAAAATCTCTCGATCGTTATTCAGATGACAAATTATATGGTCATATCTGTTAGATACAGCAAAGTCTGCACTGTGGTATTTCTAAGAAAGCAAGTAGTTCATTCCTTCATTTCTGGGTTCCATTGTGATAAGGACAGAACCATGGGAATTTCCTTGGTAAGATTCAAGGGGTATAACTGGTAAGAATGGTGTGTTCTTTTTTTTTTTTTTTTTTTTTTTTTTTGAGACGGAGTCTCGCTCTGTCGCCCAGGCTGGAGTGCAGTGGCAGGATCTCGGCTCACTGCAAGCTCCGCCTCCCGGGTTCACGCCATTCTCCTGCCTCAGCCTCCCAAGTAGCTGGGACTACAGGCGCCCGCCACTACGCCCGGCTAATTTTTTGTATTTTTAGTAGAGACGGGGTTTCACCGTTTTAGCCGGGATGGTGTCGATCTCCTGACCTCGTGATCCGCCCGCCTCGGCCTCCCAAAGTGCTGGGATTACAGGCGTGAGCCACCGCGCCCGGCCGGTGTGTTCTTAATCACACACCATAGGTACATTTGTAAATTAGGATGTGGCTAAAGCCTACTAAAAAGTATATTGATAGATTTTTAGTATCTGTAGTGAAAAAAGTTAGATTCTCACATCTAAAAACCTCACAATTTCTGAAACTGTCATCTGACTGTGTTTTTCAAATGTTCACAGTAGACGGCCTACTTCCTTGTGCATTTTTTCACATAGTATCAGCCTGGGTCATGGTAATACTGTTATCTGGTATAACATCGAGCAATGGGAAAATAATGTGGTGAATGAACAGTTGATTAGACACATTAAACTAAGGAAAATTCAATCAAAGATCATCAGTTTCAATGATTTACTACCATACATCTTTGCTTAGCTATGAATAAAACATTTTGAATGAAGCTTTTGGTGAAATTTCTGTTTCAAGATGAAAGTAGAAATGAGAAAAATAGACATCCTGTGCTCACCTCAAATGGAGAGATAACTATATATTCCGAAAAAGTTCTATGTTAAATCTTGGGCTCCTATGAGACTAATAAAAAAAAATAAGTTTAACCCTTCATTTTCAGTTTCAGTCTTGATATACAGAAAAGGAGGAAAAGGGCTGATACTACTACTTGAAGAAGTGATTTGCGAAAGGGAGAAATGATGGCTCAAAAACCCCTGTAGCTCCTCTAACAAACCCTGGTACCAGAGCAGACAATGAAATTGCTAGGGAGAGCTAAGAGTAGCAATGAATTCAATCCCTCCCTTTGTGGCCAAACTTAGTTCTGCTTTCAGAAATAACAAAATTTCAGGAGATATGGTTAAAATTTATAGGATATGGCAAAGTTTAAGGAGATTTGGTTAAGCATTTTTAATCCATT
Source organism: Homo sapiens (assembly GCF_000001405.40). Classification (NCBI taxonomy): domain Eukaryota; kingdom Metazoa; phylum Chordata; class Mammalia; order Primates; family Hominidae; genus Homo; species Homo sapiens. Next base: position 114,885,085 of record NC_000003.12, read on the forward strand.
CCCAAATGCTTACTATGGCTATATTTAGTACCAGGATAAAGAGGAGGATAAACTGGTTGCCCCTGAAGAAGCAGACCTCCCAACTGTACATTGTTAATAGTTGACAGAACACTCCTCCCTTGCCACAGCTACTCTAATACACACAAACCTTGGATGCACAACTCTGTGTAACCTGTAATGATTTAGAGATTGCATTTCTTGTACACAAGATCTTCCCTTGAATGGCTCCTTCACGTCATTCAAGTCTTATAATTCAAACTTTATTTCCTCAGAAAGGACACCTACACCCTGCCTCCGGATTACCAGCCATTCTTCATCCTTTTTGTTGTAGTTGTATGTTAATTTGTTTAGTGTCTCTCTCTCGGTCTTCTAGTTCAGAGCTCTGTCTCTAGTGCCTGAGATCAACTGAATTGTAATTATTTACTCATGATAGAAGAGTAATCAACACCAGAAAGAAATCTGCTATCTAACAAAATAATAGTTTCTTCTTTTTTTTTTTTCGGCAACAGATACAAGACAAACTAAAACAGGTTAATTCAATTAATGTGTTTTGGGTGCAAATCCCAGTTTGGTATTATCAAAGGCATATTTTCACATTTAACTATATTATCATTTCAGGGATTACTTAATTTTCATTTTCATTTCTATTTCATCCTTTCTTTTCTGGCAGGGAAGCCTAAGCTCATTTGTAAAATTTTTCTGTCCTCTGAGCATACAATTATATTTTATCCAGAACAGAAGTGCACCAAAAGAGCTGAAAGTTAAAAGAAATGTTCAGTAGATGAGACCTATAATACTGGTTCTGATTAATTAATATAATCACTCTATTAATTATCTATGTTTAAAATTCAAATTTATCTATGTTGGCTTATTGAGCATTCTTAAAGAAAACATACTTGTAATATCCTACAACCATGAGGTGGAAAGGGTCAGCAAATGCTTCCAATTATATCCCAATTATTTTAGGAATGGTTTACTTCACCTTCTGCTCCCTCTACCCACTCACCCTAATAGTGGTCTGCTCCTTACTTAAAAGGGGAAAACACAAAGATTTCCTGCAGTTTGAGAATCAACTTGGGAGAAATAGAAAAACAGGTGTCTGAGTTGAGCAGAGCTGAGTTTAGTCCTGTGTCAGCCATTTACTAGCTATTTAAAGTTAGAAATTAACTTTCTGAGCCTTGGGCTTGCTCTTTTAATCTAGACCTGGATATTCATGATTCCAGTGTTCATTTAATGGATGTGTATTTGTACGTATGGCCATATCCATAGTTCTCTAATAAAGACCTGGCCGATGCTAAGCAGAGAAATTAGACGGATTGTGATCTCAACATGCAGTCATCCAGCACAATACTTTTGTCCATCTACGACACTAAATTTCAATTGTATACTTGGCTTATATTATCTGGAGATCATTACGAAAAACATTTTCTGCAACTCTTGATTTACTTAGGTCACAAGTAAAGTTATGTGAAAGTACCATGGACTATAAGAGTATATTTGGCATCTCAACACACATGGATTGACAGAAAAGTTGGATGATACCAATGTCAGTTTTTAGTTCTGCAGTCCATCTGCAGAGTTAGTGACTGTTGGTTACCTATTCTATGCCTCAACCTTGTCATCTATAATGAGAAGTTTCAGTAGTTTAAAAAAGTATGACAGAAAATGATTCATAATTCCATGAAATTCATAAAAAATACCAAGGTGCTAAGGCTACAAGTATTCTAAAAACAGAGGACAGGATAAACTTTGTCAAATACCGAGGGGAAAAATAATTAACATGTTAGCATATGTCTTAGTCTGTTTCCTGTCGCCTATAACGGAATACTTGTAACTCAGCAATTTATAAGAAAGGAAATTTATCTCTTATAGTTGGAGGCTGGGAAGTCCAAGGTTGAGGGAGCAAAACTGGTGAAAGCCTTCTTGCCGTGACAACACTCTAGAATCCTGAGACAACGTAGGACATCACATGGCAAGGGGGCAGACTGTGCTAGCGCAGGTCTCTCTTTATGTTTCTATAAAGCTACCAGTCCCATTCCCATGATAACCCAGTAATTCATTAACCCAAGAAAAGACTCATCCATTCATGGGCCCTCATGACCCACCTCTTAAAGGCCCCAGCTCTCAATACTGCCACACTGGGGCTTAACTTTCAACATGAGTTTTGGAGGGGACAAAAATTCAAACCATAGCAGTGTGTAAATAAGTCTTCCATAGATATTTACTACCAAAAAATAACATTACTCTCTATAGTAGGTTGAATGTTGACTAGAGTCCCCAAAATTTCATGTTCACCTGGAACCTCAGAATGTAACATTCCTGGGAGATACGGTCCTTGCAGATGCAACTAATTAAGAACCATGAGATAAAATCATCCTGGATTTAAGGTGGGCCCTAAATCCAATAACTGATATGCTTTTAATAGGAGGAGAGGACACAGAGGGACACATACAGAGGGGAAGGTGCTGTAAAGATGAAGGCAGAGTTTGACGTCATAGTGCCAAAAGCCAAAGAATAAATGGGACCATCAGAAGCTGGAAGAGCCAGGGAAAGATTTTCACTGTGAGCCTTCAGAGGGAATGTGGCCCTGCTGCATTTTGATTTCTGATTTCTAGCCTCCAGAACTGTGAGAGAATAAATTTCTGTCGTTTTTAAGTCACCCAGTTTATCATAATTTACTACAGCAGCCATAGGTAACTAGTACACTTTCCCTGTACTCTCTAGGACTAAAACAGAGGAAGACATACAGAAGTTTTATAAGTGTAAATAGTGATCTCAAAGCCCCCAATTGATAGGAGCACATAAGGACAAATAAAAATCAATGAGAAAACTTAAGAGGTTGCAGTGATGGTTTCTGGTAGTAGTAAGCCTCAAACGAAATGTACTGCCCTCTATTTGGAGCTGTTCCCTCTTAAATCAAATGCAGATGCCCTCCAAAAGTGATGCAACATCTTCTGATCCAATCCTTTCAAGCAAGCCAGAAACTGATCTTAACGTGGAATTGGTCATTAAAAAAAAAAAAAGAAAGAAAGAAAGAAAAGAAAATTAATAGGCTGGGTGCAGTGGCTCACGCCTGTAAATCCAGCACTTTGGGAGGCTGAGGCAGGAGGACTGCTGGAGCCCAGGAGTTTGAGACCAGCATGGGCAACATAGTGAGACCCCCATTTCTACAAAAAAAAAATTTAAACATCTGCTGAGCATGGTGGTGCACACCTGTAGTCCCAGCTACTGGGAAGCTGAGATGGGAGGACTGCCTGGGAGGTTGAGACTGCAGTGAGCCATGATCATGCCACTGCACTCCAGCCTGGGTGACAAAGTGAGGCCTTTATATTTTTAAAAATCCAAGTGGTATATTGATGTAAATAATTAATATCTTACAATGATATATGATCAATAGCAAAAGTATACTGGAAATTACTTAATTGGACATAAATCAGTTCTCAAATAAAAAATTATTTATGTTCCTGAAGAACTTGATTCAGAGAGTAAATATACCTATTTTTCATCAATGGAAATTTAAATATAATATCAGTAACAAATTTACATAGAGGAAAATCAATTTTATTTTGGTCTAGAGTATATACTATCATGAGACTTGGCAAAGACCCTAATAAGTATACAGATCACGGCTTGAGGCATCAGATCAGCATGATTAAAGATTATGTTTGAATTGTCTCCTGATATACAAAATTAACCATTTCTTAAGTAATACTAAACTCAGCTATCCTATTTGCTACACAAATTTAAGCCATTATAGAAGCAACATTTTAGTTAATTTTCAATATCTCTATTTACTTTCTGTGCATATTTTTATGTACTTACACTTAAATCTTAACTTTCAGATAGTCCTACCTTATTTAATTTTTTTACCTTTAAAAAGTCATAACCTGTGGTATAATCTTCTTTTGATATGCTTAACAAAATATAACAATGAAATGTAGTGTAAAAAGTTTAAATACTTTTAAAAATATATTTTTAAATAGCTTAAGAAATATATTTTGAAAATATATTTTACACAAATATGAATGTGTGAAATATCTATTCACACATTTTTACCCTAATGCACAGAAATCCTTTCGTTTAGAAAAATAGAAATTGTATTCATAATTTCCCTTAAAGACTCTCAAAACCATAAGGATGATACATGCAGATATTAACTATTAGATATTACATGTTTAAAGCAGGAAAGAATGAAAACGTTAACTTCCTAGAAAACTGCAAATATCAAATTCTTTTTCTTTTGGTTTTTTAACTTAAGAGTTGTGCATTAATTACTATTAGTAATTAATTAGTCACCAAATATTCTAAAGGTGGGAACAAAAGGTTCTTACAACTCAGAGATGAATCTATTTATATTTGACTTTTTTTCTCAGACACTGGTCTCCTAACACTTTATAAGTTCAATAAGATGTGAATATAGATAATTAGGGTATTCCTATATAATCAGGTAGAAAGTGAATACATTTGTGTCAGTAGCTACAATAATTTGCATTAAATGAATGAGTGAATAAAAAATAAATCATAAAAAGGCACTGTTTGGGATTGGTATAAAACATTTACTTTTAATACATAAATTATTAATATTAAGCAGTTATATTACAAATGACAGAGAACTGTTATTGAGGTGCAAATAACTCAACAGTAAATATTAGCCATGACTAGGTTATAGGGTGTTTCTGGAATTCTTGCTTCTTTTTAGATTAGTATAATGCTCTACTCAAGGTGTAGAGTAAATCTGCAATAACTAGAGCAAATAATAAGTGGTAGAAAAAAAAGGATCTATACAGAAGACCATATTTTATTACATGGTTTCAGAATAGCATTATGATTATGATGACTAATGAGAGGAGGAAGAAGAAGAGATGTTTTTAATTTTAAAGTGCTTTGGTATGTTGTCATCTCTAATTTACAGATGAGGAAACTGAGCGTAAAAGCACACGAAGAGCTGCCTATATCTCATAGCCAATAAGTGATAACAGAGAAACTTAAATCCCTCTCTTCTATTTCTAAACCCTGTACTCTTTCTACTCTATTATATTGTCTCTTTATTCCCTGAAACCAGAGATATGTATTAACAGTAAAATTCTTAAATACTGCAGTTAAAATAGAAATTCCTCCAAGCCAGTGTTGAAAGCACCACAGTATTTATAAAAATAAAAATCAGCTTCTTAAAAAATTATTGTTCTTAAATAAATTTAAAAAGAACAAAATCTTCTTTGAGTTCCCCTATATTCCTCATACAGAATCTTGGCAGTGATAATCTGCACCGTAAACTGTGAAGTAAATTGTGTATGTGAATGAAAACAATAAGAACCTACAGAAACACATGGGAGATCTAACTCGGATAGGATGGTCTGAGTAGCGTAGGGACATGGATGAAGCTAGAAACCATCATTCTGAGCAAACTGTCACAAGGACAGAAAACCAAATACCGCATGTTCTCACTCATAGGTGGGAATTGAACAATGAGAACACTTGGACACAGGGTGGGGAACATCACACACCGGGCCTGTCCTGGGGTGGGGAGACGGGGGAGGGATTGCATTAGGAGATGTACCTAATGTAAATGACAAGTTAAGGGGTGCAGCACACCAACATGGCACATGTATACATATGTAACAAACCTGCACATTGTGCACATGTACCCTAGAACTTAAAGTATAATAAAAAAGGAAGAAAAATAATAATAATATTATCACATTTCACAGAGTTTACAGTCTGGCGGAGGAGAAAAACATTAAACTAATAATTATATAACCACTTATTTATTTACACCTGAGGTCTATTCGTTATCTTTGACTATGCCACATAATTCCAATCTGAACTCACTTGTATGCATTACTTAGCTTGGCGATGCTTGATGTTCTCCTTTCTATTTCCTTATGTCCTATGCTTCATGTTTTTTTCAAGGCCCAGCTTAAGTTCAGCCTCTTCCCAGCAGTTCACAGAGATCTCTGCCTCCACTAAATATCTTTAGCACTTAATGATTCTTTTTCAACAATGGCAAATGGGTTTCCTATTACATGAAACTTCCAACAATTGGTATGGCTGTCAAAGTACTGTCTTCAGAGGGACTCTGAGGTCAAGTTTTGGTGTAGTGACAGAGACAGCCATAATGGATTAGTGTTGTTTCATGGACAGTGAAGGGGAGACAGGGGATGCTGAATTTAGAACATTGACTTCACAAATAGACTGCCTAACTTAAAAAAAATGTTTGTAGCATTTATTTTACACCAAATCCAGGTCTAAGCATGCAATTTGACACTGAGAGTGCCTTGTTTTATTTTTTAAAAAACCTGTATCATGTCTCCTCAAGTATCATAAGATTCTTGCATGTAATACTTCTCTATGCTCACAGCATGTAGTCATGCCTTGAAACATAGGCATTTGCTGATGACAATAAATTACCATTTTAGAATTCACTCTTATTACTATTGTGAACTCCATTTATGTCATAGCTTCTCTCAAAATATTATCAATATTGAACCCATTTTAGAAAAACTTTGTAACATAAGCTATAAAATGTAAGTAAATATATTGTCTTTACCATGACCAGATTCAAATTCAACATTAGGATATTGATAACACTTAACGATTAAATATATACCTGCCAAATAATAAAATGAAACAAAGAGAAGATAACTACTTCTTAAATGAGTTTAAACATTTTTTAAAAATCCAGCCAGGCGTGGTGGCTCATGCCTGTAATCCTAGCACTTTGGGAGGCCCAGGCAGGTGGATTGCCTGAGCTCAGGAGTTTGAGACCAGCCCGGGCAACATGGTGAAACCCCGTCTCTACTAAAATACAAAAAACTAGACGGGTGTGGTGGCGGGCACCTGTAGTCCCAGCTACTCGGAAGGCTGAGGCAGGAGAATTGTTTGAACCCAGGAAGTGGAGGTTGCAGTGAGCCGTGATCGCGCCTCTGCACTCCAGCCTGGGCGACAGAGCGAGACTCCATCTCCAAAAAAAAAAAATATCCAAATCTGTGTATTTCAAAATATATTTTACATACTTATTATGTCCTAAAATTTGTATCTCTCTTTTAGTATACTTCATTTTCCTGCACATAGTAAGTGTTGAAGAAATCCACAGTGGTTAGTTTAGACCTTATTTTAGAGAGATAGCTCCATTTTACATTCCGTCTTGCTAAGGAAGTGTATTCATCATATTCCATAACAGCTCACAGTTTGTTATACATTAACTGCTTATTCTCTGTGCCAATAAGACTGTGCTGGAACAGCAAATAAATTTGGTGCATTCATTTAAATGATTCTGCAAACCACAGGCTACCCAGTTGTCTAATGATAAGAGAGCCCCAAAGCCACCTGATCACCATTATACTCCCTTATTTTTTTGGATTTGCATGGTCAGTACTGTCAGGATCTGAATACAGAGAAGAATGAGAAGTAAAAGTATACCTCAGACCTAATCATGAAAAGGGATTTTATTAATTTCGGCACCAGTGATGATGTGGCTAGGTTGGAAGGGGAATGGGATATAAGATCTGGAGTGCTTTATCTGCTCCAAGACCAATGCTGGTTTTGGCACTTCTCTCACTCTAGTGAGTTGCAAAAAAACAAGCAGGTGCTAGCAATCTGAGAGACCACATGCCAGCTACAGCTGCTTCAAACTGATTCAATTACATCTGCCTGAATAGTCCCAGGACATCAAACTAGTTGAAGAGATCCATAGGTTGCAAGGAGACTTTGTCTATCCTGATGGACAACTGTCTCTGAGATAATGACCTGCAAATTTCCAGGTTGTGATATAAAGTGATCATTCCATCACCAGGCATAAGAGAAAAGATGGGGGAATGCGATGTTTTATTCACTTTAAAATTAAAAATTGGTTGTAGAAAGCACAAAGGCCTCTTTGAATTTAAATCTGAAAGTCACTGAGGCCTTATGGATACCTTGAAACAGCCCAATTTTGTGAGAACATTTCCCAAATCATTGGGTACAGCACATTTACAGAACATGCTCTTGGGATCCGGACTTCGCTCCAAACCTTGTTTGTACAAAAAGGGGCCAAGCAGCTGGGAAATTCTGGAGTGGAGTGTGTCCTCATTAGTTCCCATCTGCCACCAGAACTCAGCTCATGGCAAGTTTGGCTAAGTCCTGGTGTACTCAGGTCCAAATGTGGGTCAGTTTTAATTACACTATACAGAATTCAGTGTGCAGTTTTAAAATCCTTATTATACAGCACAGAGGAATGGGCAGCTCTCCAGCTAATCAATTTTTTAAAAGTACATATATAAAAATTTTAAACCAGGCTAGACAGACAGTGGGTGGAAAAAAATCTTTAAATGAGTACAAGGGTTACTTAAGAGAATTATTAGTGAAATTGGGTCATGAACAAGTTCTGCTTTAAAGCTTCAAAGTGAGAAACAAACTGTTTTCATTGGTAAGTTGGAAAACTTATGTAAGGTACACAATGTGCCTTGCTCTTTAGTGTGAATAACAATAAGCCTGTGGCCAGGGTACACAACACACCTACAAGTGAACTGGCTTTCATGTAAGCAGAAATGTTCCCAATTTTGTGACTCTTCACTCCATCCCCTTTTGATGTTTATCACTTATGGCAAAGACTGGATAAAAGAAAAAAATCACAAGCTACCTGGTAAATAGTGAAAAAAAAAAGATGAGGAAGGGGAGGGAGTGAGAGAAAAGGAGAGTAGAAAGCACAAGTGCTGAGTAGCAGACTCTGGGCATGACTTGTCTCTCAGTGCCATCCATACAAATGGGGGCCAGAATCAACGCTTGCAGTCTATGTTCAGATTCCATCCTGTCCAAAAGCTTTATCAGGTTCAGGAGCGCTAAAACACTAAGCCTTCGAAGACAATTGTCAGTAAAAAATTCAGGAGTAAACACGTCGGCAGTCAGTGATTAGGCATTTATGCACCATTTTTGATAGATAAAATGTCCCTTGACACAAGTCCTAATGACAACAACAACAACAACAACAAAACACAAAAACCTTAAATGTTCAAAGTATCTTTGGGCTTTTGACTGAGTTTTTATCAGGTTTATCCATTTAAAAGCAGCACGGGATGCTAGGTTCAAATACCAGCATTGAATATTTACAAGCTATATGACTTTGGACAAATTGCTTATCCTCTCTGACATTTTGTTTTCTCACCTGCAAAATGGGAGAAATAACATCTTCCTCACAGGGCTGTTGCAAGGATCATAAAACATATATGCATACATATATTGGATATTACATATCTATATATACATACATGCATATATATACATATACACTCACATAAATGTGCATATGTATATATATAGCATCTGGAACATGAAAGTCACTCAATAAATGTTAACTATCATTAACCCAGTTATGATGAACTAAATTTTGTTCCCCAACCCCTCCAAAAAAAAACATGTGTTGGAGTTCTAACCCCAAGTACTTCCAAATGTGATCTTACTTGGACATAGGTCTCTAAAGAGGTAATCGAGTTAAAATAATGCAATTAGGGTGGGCCTGAATTCAATATGACTGATGTCCTTATAAAAGCAGAGAAATCTGGGGACAGAGACAGATACTTACAGAGGGAAGACAGAGGAAGACATATGGAGAGACATAGGAAGGAGATGGCCATCTATATGTCAAGGAGAAAGGCTGGAACAGATCCTTCCCTCACAGCCCTGAGAAGAACCAACCTGGCTAATAAACCTTGATTTCAGACTTCTGAACTGTGAGAAAACAAATGTCTGTTTAAGCCACCAAGTTTGTGGTCCTTTGTAATATTCCCAACTAAATAAAAATTCCATTAATCATCAATATTTACCTTGATTCATCATGGTCGAAACTATACATTTGATATTAGGCAGGTCTGTATTACCTCTGGTGAGTAATAATCAATTCTATATATATTATCTAGTGATGTTTTCATTATTTTAAAAGAATCCTTTTCTGATTGCTGTACAAGAAGATACTGCTGCAATATAAACAGCCTGGCAGAGGAAAATGGTTTACTATAATTAAGATCATCTAGTTATTATTAAAGATAATTAAGGGAAAATCATACATATAAATTCATAAATCCACTTTTCTACTGTTGAGTTTGCATAGAAGGAAATCAGAAAATCTTACCACACTAATTTCCTTCTCAAGAAAAAATAAAACCTTACACAGCGATTTATGCACTGACAACTATGCTCACTAAACCTGAGGCTGCTTAGATTACCAACAGGACCACTTTTAAGTCATTTTGATGCATATGAAAGTAACTCATCAAGCATGGGTTCTTCATCCTTTGCAAGAGACTGCTTTTAAAGGTATCTGACTTTCAGAAGAGGGATGAGAGTTGTCTGGGTTGTGTCAACACGCTTTCTATTGCAAGACATACCTCCATAATCAACAGACATTGAAGTGAATGTGAGCATCCCCATCTTAAGTTTTTCTTTAAACAGCCCTAGCCTTCTATAGAAATGTGGCATGTATAGTTAGAAATTATGAGTCTAATTATGTTGAACTGAGATAAGCAACAGATATCACAAGAGCCATAATTGGACCAAAGTTAACTTTCTTAATGTATGTGTCCCACACTTCCTTGAAATTCCTATACTACTGATTATAAAAATTTTTATATTTTGTCAAGAGAAGAGAGGAAAAAATAATACACAGAGACTACTATGCAATAATACATAGGTGGTAGTGGTGCACAAAATAAAGTATTTTGTATACCTAATTTACTTTAATCCACATATCCACCATTAAAAAGGTAGGTGTTGTTACCACCATACTATACATAGGAAAGCTTGAGGCTTAGTAAGCTCTGCCAACCTCGATGAGGTCGCACAGCTACTGAATAATGGAGCTAGACTTTTGGTAAAGGTCAGTGGGAGGGAATCCAAAGCTCCTAAATTCAAACTCAAGCATGAGATTTACAATCCAGATATCCTAAGTGCATCACTGGGTTCCAAGATGGTGATTTATTTAAGGAATTCACAGGCGTGTTGAAAGCATTTGAACTCACATAAGCAGTAGATGTGTTCTTGCTAAACCTAACTCAACTTATTCTCCTTATGAGGAAATCAATGCTATTCACAAACACAACCTAAAAGGCTTTATTCAATTTAAATGAAATTAATCTTATTATAAGAACACATGAAAATGGAATTACCATACAATCTAGCAATTCCACTTCTGGGTATATACTCAAAAGCATTGAAAGCAGGTTCTCAGAGAGATAGTTGTACACCTATATTCATAGCCAAATTGTTCATAATAATTAAAACATGGAAGCAATCCAAGTGTCCACTGATGAGTGAATGGACAGGCAAAATGTGGTATATACATGCAATTAATTATTATTCAGCCATAAAAACAAGGAAATCCTGACATGTACTACCACATGGATGAATGCTGAGGACATTACGCTAAGTGAAATAAGCCAAACACGAGAAGAGAAATACTATATGATTCCACTTATATAACTACATAGAGAAGTCAAAATGACAGAGACAGACACTAAAATGGTGGCTGCCAGAGGCTGGGGGTGGGAGTGCAGAGGGAAATGGGAAGTTATATTTTAATGGGTATAGTATTTTAGTTTTACAACATGAAAGTGTTATATAGAGATGTATTGTGGTGATGGCTGTGCAAGCATCATAAATGTATTTAATACCATTGAACTGTATACCAAAAAATAGTTAAGATAGTAAACTTCATGTTGTGTGTATTTTTCCCAAATACAAAAATTTGGGGAAAATAATAAAAATATCACATGAAGGTCTTTTAGATTCAGTACATTGCTTCATGATTTTTATAATATCTTCTAAGGCCAGGGAAGCAGAGGTAACTTTGTATAGAACCTCTGAGTACAATCTATGTGATAATGCCCAACCAGGATCCCTGCTCCCAGGCAATTAGATGTTCTTTTTTCAGAGTCTAAACTGCAGTAGTGGTGATGGCGAGGGAACTGGTAGTGATAGAAATGACAGTAGCATAGCTAAGATTTCTTCAGTACTTGCTATGTGCCAACCAGTGGACCAAGAATCTTACATGTAGTGTGTTATTAACTCTCAGACAACAGATACTATTATTTTCCCAGTTTTACAAATGAGTAAACAAGGGAACAGAAACATTAGGTAACTTGATTGAGACCATACTAATAATAAGTGGTGAAGTCAAAAAGAACTCTATTGATATATCTTTGTCTCTCACTAGCCTGTATCCTCTTGAGAACAAAGATTTTGTTGTATTCATCTAGCCTAGCACAATTTCTAGCAAACAGCAGACATCCATTCACCATGCAGAATAAAAGGAAATGAGGAAAGGAGAGAGGGAAAGAAGGGGGAAAAAAGAAATTATATCTAGTCATGCTATGTTCTTAATAAATGTGGATTTTCTTTCTTTATTTCCTTAACCCTGAAATCGCAGGGGAACCTGCAATAATGCTCAGGAATCCTAGGGCATAGGAATTCCTCCCTCTTTGAGATTCCAGGCTAATTCCTGACACAGGACCCTCAAAAAGCTGCTAATATCTGTCTAGTTTAATGATTAATATTCTAGCAAATATATATTCTTGGCTCATCTCCTAATTTCTAATATTGAGACTAACAGAGAGATAGAGTTCAATCTACCACACTAAGATTCACTGGAAAAAACCGATGTCTTTGATATTGGCCTCTTGCACACTGGTGTGAACTGAGGTAAAAGAAAAACTGTTCCCAGAGGAAAGGTAGTTCCATGCCTAAAAGTACATGTGTCATAAACCAGTGGTACTAAAATTTGAGAAGCCTAAACAAAAGGTTTTAATGCAATAGATAACTGGCTTATTATGTAAACTGTGCCAATCTTATGTGACGGGCTTATGCCACACAAAACGGAACATTAGAATGATCTATCTAAAGCAAGTCTTAACTGTTCTATTTTGACTCTACTCTTGCTTGGCTTTACCTCTATTTATAATTAAAATTTAGTGAGTCATAGAGACCATAATTATAAACATGTATACAGTAAACACAGGGTCCATTACTTTTGCTTAGAAAAATAATTACAGATTTTTTAATATTCTGATCTTAACTGACCCAAAGGAATTAAACACACATTTTATTTTTGTGTTTTAGTGAGATAGAGATAGGGAGGGAGAAGCATAAGCCAGTGCTCAGGAAAGACGAGGCATTAACCATATAACATAGATTTGTTTATTTATGGGCTGCAAAGTATTTCCAAGGTGACAAGTAACTTAGCCATTAATGCCTCAGCCTTATGTGTATAATGGGAATAACATACAGACTTCTTGTAATAAGTAAAAGTTAGTTTAAAGCACATTGCAAATAGTGTTATTTCAATTATTCATTAAAATAGTCAAAAAGGATCAGTTCTTATACATTAATTTCTCATTTTAAGGACAGAATTTATCAGTATTCTCATATCTATGTAACTGGCAGTATGAGAACTAAAGGCCATCAAGACTTATCTAAACTGTATAACAAGTAATAAGATTTTAGGACACAATCCCTCTATTTCTAATACAACTCCAGAAATGTTTTATTCATAAATGCATTCATTCAACATTTACTGATCAACTACTATGTACAAGGCATTGTATAAGAGGCTGTGGCAATCCTCTACTTACCTTTGTACTGTGTTTCCTACTTCCAAAGAGGTTAAATTAATACCAAAGTGATTTGTTAAAAATACAAAAAAGGATTCCAAATGGGCCAATAAAAGGAAAAGACACACCAACTCTAAGACCAGATTTATGTTACTAAATACCGACGGAAACTCCTCAGCATTTAAAAGAATACATTAAGGAGAGTAATGCAAGTCATTTGGATGTTTTCAATATGAGAAATTTGAGCCTACTGAATAAATTAATTAAATATCTTTAATATTGAGTTGCAGCTTTTTATTGCATTTATAGAACTTTACCTATTAGTAAAATATACAATCTATAATAGCTTGTCTATATCAAAAATATAGATATCTGTCAGAAAACATACAAAGCCACAACTAAAATACATTTAATATCATTACCAGTAACATTTGTGAAAAAATACCAAGCATCTAGCATTTGTTAAATTAAAGAATAATATTCCATAAAATCTACATCTGGATTTTAGCCCCTCTTTTAGAATTACTATTTAATCTTCACTTTTTTTCTCTCTCACTTCTACCCCAACAGCAACAGAAACACATGCACAAATTAAGGAATTATCTTACAATATACCCTTAAATTTTCTGAATATGCCCCATGTGTCCACTAATAGCCAAATGCTTTCAAATCTGTTCAGCTAAATGGATCAATAACTACATCCAGCCTCACATAGTGGGGCTGCCAACACGGTGAAATTGAGCCAAACACAAAATGTCTCTACCAGGACAAAAATTATTATCAACCCAGTTATCTGAAGAGATCTACTCTCCCAGATATTCTTTCGAGAAGTTGGCATACACATTATCTAGGGCAGTCAACAGCTACTAAAAAAAAAATATTTGAGTCATAAAACAGAGGATTTAAAGAAAATATTCAGAAGCTAAAACCAGTGAGTTTTAGAATAAACCAATGTAACAGTTCAAGGTCTACATCAAGTAAGAATCTTTCAGAGTCAGAGTACACAAAACACGTAAGAGCACAAGCACACTGCTAACAAGCTTCTCTGTGCTCTCACTCATATGACACAGCTGCAAGCAACAATTGAGCAGGTGCAACCAAGCTTTTGAGAATTCCTGCCTGTTGCCCAGGAACCACAACACTGCATGGTTGAGATTTTAAACAGGTGCAAACATTTTTTTTTCCCATTCGTCTAGTGCTTGAGACAGTGGAGCAGACAGTACATCTGCAACCACTCCATACCTAAAGCAACCATCACAGAAAATAAACTCAAAAGCAGCAAAATAAAAAAAAGTTTAAATAAAACAATAATGGCAAAACTGTGGTTTTGCAATGGTCTGACCCCACATCACCGTTCACTTTAATAGTACAATTCCATAAAATAATCTCTTCACCAGATGAATGCTTTGTAATTAAAATTATTTGCCTTATCAAATCTTAGAAATGTTTACTTGATTCTTACAATAGAATAAAATAAAATATATGTATAAAATGTACTATCCTTTGAAGCTGTCATTATCTGTAAGTAATCAAGAATTAACATTTTTACATTATGAAATCTATAAGCAATTTTAATACATAAAAATATTATAACTTGTTAGTTAATATATAGATTTACATAGTTATAGGTAATTCATATACATACCTGTGCAGCTATGGGGCACAAACTTGCAATTCATCAATTCTGAAATGTAAAAGAAATATATAAGTAAAAATTAATTTACTAAGTTGGAACCAGTATTTATGTTGCAACAATTCCTGCAGAGAAGTAGGAAAAGTTTCAGTGCATAAAGAGGTAAATTATTTTTTATCAATATTTTCCCTATAGGATATTTCATATATCTGAAAATATATACACACACACACACACACACACACACACACACACACAGAGTCCCTTAGCAGTGTATCATAAGCACTAGCAAGGGACTCTGACTCACCATGGCCTCTGAAACTCAAATGCTTTCACTAGAGGACGAGGCAAACACTTTAAAATGATTTTTTTTTTTGGTATTCTTCCAAGACTATTGCCTTCCTAATACAAATATGACTGCTGCTCTCTAAAATGAAACTACTCAGATTCATCTGCACTCAGTTTGGATAGAATGTTGTTAAGGAAGAAAGGTGCTTTTGTAGAGCAGTCCACAAAAAAATGCATGAATAAATGAAAGTAAACTTTGAATGTTCGTTAACTTTGAGTTACAACAGCAAATAGAAATGAAATTGATTGCTACAAGAAGGAATGCTAACACCACGTCGGATATAATGCAAAATGCCTCAACTCAACACACTTTGACAAAACTGCCAGCGAAGTAGGTATTGATACAGAAGACTATGTAAGTCCACATTAAACAAAAGTAGCAGTTTACAATTAGACCTGAAAAACATTTGGATTTAGGTGGAAACTGTATTGCAACATACAGCCTGGGAACTACTGGTACTCTTAAAAATATTTCCTAGTTCTAGCCAGGAGTGGTGGCTCACGCCTGTAATCCCAGCACTATGGGAGGCTGAGGTGGGCTGATCACCTGAGGTCAGGAGTTCGAGACTAGCCCGAGATTACGCTATTGCACTCCAGCCTGGGTGACAAGAGAGAGGCTCCATCTCAAAAAAAAAAAAAATTCTTTTTGAAAGCAAACGGACATGTTTAATTTATATAGTTCTTCTGAGCACAGTCGATTACAGCAACACATTATAGTCAGTAAGTCCACTTTATAATACTGCTTAAAAGTATATAGAGGTAATAATTTTGATGATGGCTCAATAAAACAACATCTTCGTATATTCTGATGGGAATGTGGATTACAAAAGACTTTCTAGAAACCCACTGAGTACTATGTATCAAGAACCCAAAGTTCAATATTTTTACTCAGTAATTTTAGTCCCAGGAATCAAATGTAATAGAAAACCAACAGAAATTTATGTAAAAAAGATAATTTTTATGACAGTAAAAAACTATAAGCAACCTAAATATCTAATAGAAAAATAATTAAATAAAGCATAGCACATCTATATAAAGGAATATTTGGCAAAATTTAACAAGGTACTTTAAAGAATATTTTAAATTTTACGGAAAAATGCAAATTTATAGTATTATGATGCTAAAATATTATATAAACATGTAGACTACCAATTACATGGACAGTATGAAATTATGTGAATAAGAAAAAACAAAGAACAAAACAAAGAATTAAGAGTGATTATATCTGGATAATAAGACTTTGGATGATTTTAATTTTTTCTTTTTACTTTCATATATAGTTAATTATCTACAATAAGCATGACTTTTATAATAGGAAAAAATAATAGTAGGTAGGGTAGGGGTAAAAGGAAAAAGTTATAAAATGCTATATTGAATTCATAAATGTAACCTTCCTAAGAGAAATAAATTAATTCAGTCACAAATAAAACCCAGTAACTGTGCCTACAGTGAGAAACACCCTCACTGCTTCCTCAAAGGGGCATAGCCAGGGTCTTTTTTATCCCAGTGCTTTGGAATCTACACAAGTAATTCAATAACACATTTTTAAATCATCTTAGTAAAACTTCTTTACTTATTATGCAGAGTGAAATGATGGCAAGAATAATTTAGGACTTCAAATCTCTTCAACCTAGCACAGCCTAACTTATTCACTAATTCAATCACATTCAGTGAGCATCTACTGCCTGCATGGTGCTGTGTTTGGCACTGCAACGTGCTAACAGATAAATTAGGACACACCTTACCCTCATTGAGCTAACAATTTAAAAACACTAAAAAATGTTTAGACACAGCTCACATGAAGAAGTAAACACAATACAGTTCAAAGCATTTGTGACAGATTTGGTACATTTTAAAGCAAGAAAACATACACTAGGTTTATTTTTTATATTTCTGAGCAAACACCTATCTTTAGGTAACAATAAAAAGTCATGTGTATTAGTATCACTTATTAATGCACTAGCAAATTAAGTATTTAAGTTTTTTCCTTATGTGATCTATTTTTTGTTAATGGACAGTTACATAATAGGAGATTAAGTATGAAGGAATAGTGACCCAATCTGGAATGCAGATGTGTAAGATTGTCTCAGTTTATCTGAGGCCACATAAAACACATGCACAATTATTAACAGGCTGCAGTTATTTATTGGAAACCAAAGCAAATAAGTTAGTTACTGGTTAATCCTGCTAAAAGACACTGTTATGACAACACCACCAGGGAAAGAAAAGAAGATAGAGCAAACCACTTTTGTTATGCAGATAAAATGATTCAGCATAGAGATTCTCTCAATAGCAGTTCAGTTTCCTGCTGGCCTGTAAACATAATCAGCAATGCCCTTCTGAGGCCAGTGCTGCAGGATTATTCCAATGTGAGGTCAATGGGGTCAATCTGTGTGAAGTGGTGACAAACACTAAGAGAAGGTAAGAAGCTATTTGTGTGATCAGTGATCCATAGACTGGGGCTCAGAGTTCTGGGAAGCAGTAGAGTTATGAGGTAGGGTGGTAGTTAAGCACTTAGCTTTTGCCATCAAACAAACCTGGAATCAAATTCCAGCTCCCCATCTTTAGTTCTGTGATCCTAAGCAATTTAAATTTTCTGTCTGTAAAATGGTGATCATGTTACTCACCCTACGAGGTTGTCTATGCAGGTTATATGTTATAGCCATATAAAGGAACTAGCACAGTGCCAGCCATGAGGTAAGCATTTGATAAAAGGGAACTGTTAGTACTATCATAGTTGTATGAAAAGGGAAAGCATGTCTGTCCCTTTAAGCTAAGGAACTAAGCTAGGCAAGGAGTAAGGAGATAAAGAAGGCTTGTTGAAGACATCACCCTACAGTCCAGCAGCTCATCCAAAAGCCAGTCATGTGCTTGATGTTCACAGAACATTTCTGAATCAGGCAACACTGCAACAATAGTAATAGCCACAATAACAATTCTAACCAGCACTTTTAAGCTCCATTCCTATGACTGAAAAGAAAGGCAGTAAAGTCTAAATAATACGTGCAGCAACACTGCCGAACTTCTCTGGGTGAAAAATGAAGGATCACTTTCCACATTTAACTGAAACAATCAGGAAAAGGAAAATAAGGACAAAATGAATATAATTACTCAACTGGAATTGGACCAAGGTGCCGTGTAATGGTCTTAGCAATCACATGTAGGCACTTATCACCTTTTTATGTATTCTAAGGAGATCCTGCAGATGACCAGAGCCTTATATATGAGGTTTGCAACTCTAAGTAAAAAAAAACGTTAGAGTCAGTTTTTTTCTTATGGCTGGGAAGACAGAAATGGATGCATACTGATGTTGTTCTAGTCCTTATTTGTGTTTTGATTTAAAGGACAGCACAGATCCTGAGTTGTTAAGTGGCGTGTCTTCAGATTCCCACACAGTTCATGTAATTGCTAGAGTTGTTTCACTCGCATTGGGTGAAGTTACTATTAGCACCATTCCAGATGCAGATATACTATAGAGTGTTTGTTTGTTTGTTTGTTTGTTTGAAGTTCTTTTTACTTCTAGGTTGGCATAGCTGTGTTCTCCAGTGGGATAGGTCCAATTCTATGTTACAGAATACAGAAATAGTTCATCTTCCCTTCATACTAGTTGGGCCTGGCTAGAGATGCCCCTTAAGCCATTAATAAATCTACTTGCTAATTCACTTAGAGTACTAACAAGGATCTCACCTGGGCCTGTGGGTACAACCACTCCATAGAAGAGCTCTAAACCTAAATTTAAACAAAAAGAATTTCACCCATGACTGAGGAAGCATCCACAGGACTATTTTACATGCTTTACATTTAAATTTGATATTTTGAGAGAAGACTATGTAATTCAAAATAATTTTATTTTATTTAATATGTATTTAGTCCTTCTGGACCCACTACAGAGCTGGATGTTGTATCATTATTATATGGTTATTATAAAATGTACACTTTACTCATCAATAAAGCCAATTTTACTTTTGAAAATTGAGGTACCTGGCTTCTGTGGTTTCTCTCAACAGAAAGTCCTATGAAGAGTAAGAACTATAAATTGTCAAGTAGACTTGAAAAACTTATGCTTATTTTGTAAATTACTGAGCTAGGTCTGGCCCTTCATTTTGAAAAGCTATCTGCCTATAAGAAAGAGGAAGTATGAGGAGCACAGTTATCTATTAATCAACACTGTGAACTGGAAACAGATAAAGTGCAATAAAGAAGGAAAAGGAAATCATATGGTAAACACCGTTAACCCAACGGCACAGTTGATCTGTCTAGACCTTAGGTCAGATAAGCTGTAATAAAGCTATAAAATCCACGAAAAACTAAAGCTTATTTACAAAAACTGCAAAATTTGAATTTTCTATAATTAATGCCACTTAAAATGAAAGAATTTAATATCAAATTTCATGTATAAACATGATAAATTTGAACTCTCAAGTAGAAACCTCATCTACAATACACTAAGTGTTAATAATTCTAATTGTCCTATAATCCACACTTCACAGCATATTCTAGAGAAAATAGCTGTTGGGTTTTTATGACTTAACTTAAACTTCACAACTTTTAAAATAAAAGTTTAAGAGCTAATTTAAAAATGTATTTAAGAACCTAAAATTTAGAAAATATTAAAAATTATATTTTCAAAATATCCTCAACTTGAAGTTATGGCTATTGAAATCAATGATTTATTCTCAGAAAATGTGAAAATTTTACTGGCCTGCTTGTATACATCCCTGGGGTCTTAGTTTAGATATTATCTCCTCCAGAATCTGATATCCTGTGTCTAATCCTGTCATAATAATCATTTTATTGCACTGGAATTGTCTTTTACATAAGACTGTAAACTTGGGGACCAGCATTTGTATCTTATTCACCATTACATCTGTAGTTTTTACTTAGCACAGTACATAATGTGTGGTAGGTAGGTCTTAAATATTGGCTAAAGGAATGTTGCATGAATTGTGTTAGCTTGTATTCTTGATGATTAAGAAAATTCACACTGCATAAAAAATTAAGGAATCACATTCGTAAACAAGTTATTCCCAATCTTTAAAGGACTAATCTTCCAATCTATTTTCTTGTGCTTTTTCTACCTATTTTTCCTCTTAATCAGTACAAACTTAAAATATGAGAATTTGAGTCTCAAATGTTAACACCAGGTTAGAAAGCCTCGTTAGTTTGGCCCCACATTGGACAAGAATGAGTTGTCCAAATCCTACCTGTTAACAGATACTCGGTATGGAAGAAACTGTTACACAGAGTTCACTGAAAGAGTTCTGCAGTTCCTAACCAATTATGTGGTTCTTATACTTTCTCTAAAAAACTTCTTCTAGCTATAGTTCCTGAGACAGATACCTCCACTATTTTATTCTTTTGTGGCATATATGACAGTTTAAATTATTGGGGTGATTATTGGCTTATGTGTTTATTATCTCTTTCTTTCCCACTAGATTGTATACTCCATAGAGGCCACACTACTTTATTCACTACTCTATACCCAGGGTCTAGTTTAGTGCCTGACACACAGTCAACACTTAATAAGTATTTGTCAGATGTATAAGACAAACATGAGTTCAAAAATATGAGCAGTAAATTTAGAGCAGTAGCTTTCAATCAAGAGACTATAAAAGTAGGCAGTTAACAGCTACCCCTAAAAAGTGTTTTCATTTGAACTCTGTGGAAGCCTTGATGATGTAGAAAATCTTTTATTGTAAATTCTGTTCAATCAAAGGCAAGGCAGAAAAACTTCAAAAGCAATTCTAGGTAGGATGAAGGTATAGTACCTAGAAAAAGCAATGGAATCACAACAACAGCAACCACTTTCAATTAGAAGTTTTGAGTTTGAATTAAAGCTTACTAGGTATGTGTCCTAGGTAAACTTACATAACCATCTCTAATATTCAGATTAATCATATTTAAAATGAGGGGGATTTTATATAATATAAAATTTTTATATTATATAAAATTTTATGTTTTTATGATGACTTAATGAGATTATATGTATACAAGTAGCTATTAGCATTATCTATGGCATTTAGGAGAAGGGGCTCACTATTGATTAGTTCCTTTACCTTGGCCAGCCAGCGTCTGCAACAAGATTGAGCTAAAACTTCATCAAGTAACCAGGATAATACATTTTAGGTAGGAAAACATAGATGAAATAAGGGCTTAAATGCAGAGAAAAGTAAGTTGGTGTTAGGGTTAATACATAAAAAAAAATGTGTAAGACAGAGTAGCGAGAATTTCACAGCAGTTAGAAATGGAAAAAGATTTCAACATGATACAAAAACTGCCAAGAAATCTATTAGCTTTTCCCTTAGGTGACGCAGTCTTCCCCTCATATAAATAAAATAATTGCTACTATTATAGTTGGAGAAAAATCAACTGAAATGTACATTAAACACGTATTAGAGATTTAACATTCTTCACATCATTTCACATGCTGAAAACTCAACCTTTGTAAATATAGCCATGAACCTTATTATTTACTATAATAAAGTAACAGCATATCCTTTTCTATGTACTACTTGCAGAAGTATAAAAGGCAAATGTGTTCTTGCTCTTTAGGTGCAATTACAAGGCAGCAGAATGTAGTTAGGCTAATTTTTTGCATTTTGTGCTCATCAGACAGTGGCTACCAACCCTGCAAGAAAAAACTGGTACCAAAAATACTTCATCGGAAATTCTATTTTCATACTTAGTTGCTTTCAGTATTCTTACTAATTTGGTCAAACTTATGTCAGCTCCCTCATTAAAATTGTTTTCTGTCTAAATCGTTATCTTTTCTGTGTACGTATATGTGTGTATGTGTATTATTTGGTCAATATTCAGACAGAACAAGTCTGAGATGCACCGCATAACAAAAGTAATCACCCCATCCCCATACTTCTCAGGGAATATCTACCTGGTACCAATAAGCTCATCAAGAGTTCATCTGAATTCATAGCCTTTGTCAATCAGAGGTGATAAACTGTGATTTTAGTAGTCTATGTTCCCTGCAAGACCATCGTCTTCATGAGGGCTAGAATCTGGTTTATTTTCTTTCTTTTTTGTCATCACCACCTAGTTCAGGACAAAGCACACAATATACAACCATTGGATATTTCATTCATTTATTCTAAAATGTTTATTGAGTACTTACTATGTGACAGGCATTGTTCCAAGTGGTGGTGATTTAGGAGTGAACAAAATAGATGGAAATTTCTGATCTCATGGAGATTATATATATTTGTTGTGGATGTCTGATAATAAATATATAGAATGACAGACAATTATCTGCGCTAAGGAATTAAAATAAAGCAGGGAAAGGGAAAAGTAAATGATGGGATTGGGAGTTGGGGTTGAAATTTTAGATAGGGGGACCAGCAAAGAAATTATGGAAAGATCACATTCAAGTGAAGACCCAAAAGAAATGAAGGAGGGAGTTAGCCAGAAATGCCTTGGAGAAAAGGCAAAGGAATAGGAAAGAGTTTCCTTTAAAATGCCAGGCTATATTCAGATAGAAATGTTTCTATTAAAATATAAAGGTATACGAAAGGCATTCAAGCCAAAGAAATAGGAAAGACTTTTCTTTAAAATGTCAGGCTATATTCACACAGAAATGTTTCTATTAAAATATAAAGGTCCTATAGAAACATTTCTGTACGAATATATAAACATCAAATACATAAAAGTTTTAAAATGTTTCATAAGAAAGGAACTTAGAAATCAAGAAGATAGAGCTAGGGTATTTGGCATTACTATGATTCTACCACAACCCTCCCAGGGGAATTATCCAGCTCAGTAATAACCTGAGAAATTTAGGGGTACAAATAAAGTTTGCAATAACTGTAATCACTGAGAATGGCAACCTCCTAATAGATCTGGAATACCTAGAAGAAACAAATCCACTTTTGCAGGATACCTTCAACAACTCAGGTCATGTGGGAGTCTCACAGAAAAAGCAAACACCAATGAAAAAGAGCTCATATATCAAAAATATCAAATCCGAAGAAAGGTTCATCCATAAATGAGTCAGCAGATGAAAAACTTTAAATGAAATGTACGCATTAAGTTCAAAATAGGGCACAATCTTAGGGAACTAATCTGAGGGCCAAAATAAAAAAAGAAAGAAACTATGAAAAAGGCAGATTTGATAAATATACAGAGATTTATAGAAATAAAATTGTCATTAAAATTAATATCTGAAGTGAGAATTTATCATATTAAATGGAGCTAAAGGGAGGATTACTGAACTGAAAAATAATTCCAAGGAATTTACCTACCATAAAACAGAGATAGAAGATATTTTTTAAAAAGATTAGGAGATATAAATGACAAAATAAAAAACTCTAACATATCTAATAAGTATTTAAGAATGAAAAAAAATAAAGACAAAAATGCAATATCTGAAATGATGATGAATCTTTTCCAAAACTGATAAAACCTCAGAAAACTGTAAAACAGCATCAGGTAGGTCCTTCAGGGAATATTTCAGAAAAAGGAATTTTTATCACAGGAGATGACAGCTCCATGCATGTTATTACGCCAGAAGACCTTCCAGTGGGACAAGATGTAGAGGTGGAGGACAGTGATATGGATGATCCCGACCCTGTGTAGACCTGGCTAATGTGTGCATTTTTGTTAGTTTTTAGCAAAGTTTAAAAAGTTAAAAAAAATTAAATGGAAAAAATACAGAATAAAGATGTAAAGAAAAAATATTTTGTACAGCTATACAATTTATGTGAGCTTTAAACTAAGTGTTATTACAAAAAATTCAAAAAGTTAAAAAATATGTTTATAAAGTAAAACACTTAACAGTAAGCTAGGGTTAATTTATTATTGAAGAAATATGAAACTTTTATAAATTTAGTGTAGCCTAAGTGTACAGTGTTTATAAAGTCTACAGTAGCATACAGTAATGTCCTAGGCCTTCACATTCATTAACCACTCACTCACTAACTTTCTCAGAGCAACTTCCAGTCTTGCAAGCTCCATTCACGGTATTAATTATAACTTATAAGCAAAAGACTATACCATACAGCATACGTGTACAATAGGCCATACCATCTACGTTTATCTAAGTACACTCTATGATGCTCACACAATGATGAAATCACCTAACAATGCATTTCTCAGAATGTATCCCTGTCATTACGAGATGCATGACTATATATCAAAACTCATGCAATGCAGCTAAACAGTCTTAGGGAGCAAAGTACAACTTTAAGTTAATATGCTAAAAAGAAAAGACAAGACTAAAATTATCAAGACATTAGAAAAGTTACAAAAAAGTAAAACCAAAAAATGTAAAAGCTGAAACGTAACAATAATACTGAGCATAAGGGAAATGAAAAACAAAAATGTAAAGACAGTCAACAAAATTAAGTGTTGCTTTTTTTAAATGACTAATAAAGTAGAAAAATCTCTGGGAATTTTTATTATAAAAAAGAAGATAGAAATAAAATTAAAAAGAAAAAACAAATCTATTTGGACATTTAAGTGATTACTGAATACTATGAAATACTTTATGCTAATTTGACTTAAATGTTCAAGTTATTTTACAAGTGAAATAATATGAACAATTTTGTAGAAAAATATAACTTGCCTAAGAAGAACTAGAAACTCTGATTCGACAATTATAAAGATATCACATATGTGGTTAGAAATTTATATAAACATACACACACACATGCACGCGTGCACACACACACACACACACACACACATTACCAGGCCCAAATATATTTAAATATAAAATTTAATAAACCTTTAAAAATCTGTTGAGGTCTATGTGATAAAAATTGGACCATAGAAAACAGGAAAGCACCTCAACTCTTGTATAAGGCCCTTGAACACTGATATCAAACCCAGATAAAGGTATTATGAGAAAGAAAAATTATTTACAATGGTGAGGATTTAGAAGAGGTACAAGCTAGCCAAAAGACACTCAGAAAAAGAAAAGTAACAATAGCTATTATTTATTTAGCTACTACTAAGTGTTTGATAAGAGTTTTGCATATATTATTTAATCTGTATATCAGCCATATAAGTGGTTTTATTTTCATTATTATCACAATTGTATAAATAAAATGATGCTCAAAAAAAATAAATGGGCTCAAAGTCATAAAATTAATAAGTAGCAGCAGTTGATAGAGGGAGACTCTAAAGACCATGTACTTAAACACTGCCTTGTACTATTTACTCATCTTTCTTAATTATGTTCACAGAGGACATTATGCTGTCTCCCTAACACTTCACCCAATTTTAAATAAAGCATAATTTTTGGTTTTTAGCAGCTTTACTATGATGTTCCCAAGTGTTGTTTTCTTCACGTTTATTGTGTTTAGAGTTCACTAAGCTTCATGTCTTTCACAAAATTTGGGAATTTTTAACCTTTCTTCTTAAAGTCTTTAAATATTTTCTCTGTCCTATTCTTGTTCTTCAATACCCTACATGAGAGAACAGGAGGTCCCTCAGACATATACCCCCACAGCAATAAAAATTTTCTAGTTATCCCAAAAAAAAAAGTGCCCTAGTTGAAACTTTGGGGCTCAAGTAGGGGGTTGTGAACACTAGTGACACCCAAGACCTAAGAAGGCCATTTTGAGAGGGTAGAATCAAGCCCACATGACAGACTTGCCAATGATGGTCCCAGCTTCAGACATGGAAATAGCTCCAACATCCTGTATCAAAAACATCGACAAAGGGGCCTGGAAGAAGTCATGCACACTAATGCCTCAGGTGACAGTCATTTGTCTTGGCTGAGGATCCTAAAAGGGAGCTCCCACTTAGCTCCAGTTCCTCTTGGCTGCTCTCTCAGAGCAGTCCTGCCAGCACAGGGAAAAAGAACTCAAAATAATGATTTTCAATAAGTCCAATGAGATGTAGAAAACACAAATAAACCACAAAATATAATTAGGAAAATAATTCATTAAAAAATTAGTTTAGTTTAAATATTATATTCCATAAAAAAAGGACCAAACAGATACCCTATAGCTGAAAAGTATGAAGACAGAAGTGAAAAATTCAATACAGGGCTTCAACAGCAGACTCAATCATACAGAAAAAGAATTGATGAACATGATGACAGGTAATTTGAAATTACCCACCTAGAGGAACAACAAGAAAAAGACTGAAAAAGCATGATGAAAGTATGAGGAACCTATGGGACAATACCAAGTGTACAAAAATATGAATTAGGAATTCCCAGAGAAGACAGACAGAGTAAGAGGACAAAAACTAATATAAAGAAATACTAGCAGAAAAGTTCCCAAATCCTGGGAGGCATATGGACATTCAGATTCAAGCAGCATAAAGGCTTCCAAGAGAGATCCCAAACAGGAATGCTCTAAGACATATTATAACCAAATTGTCAAAAGTGAAAGACAAAGAGAGATCTTGAAAGTAGTGAAAGAAAAGAGCCTTGTTCCATATAAGTGAACATCCAAAAGACAATCAGTAGATTTCTCAAGAAAAACCTTGTAAACCAGGAGGGAATGGAATAATAGATTCAAAGTGCTAAAAGAAAAAAAAAAAAAAACCTGCCAAATAAAACAGTATATCCACAAAAGCTGTCCTTCAAAAATGAAGGAGGGATAATAACATAACCAGACAAAGGAAAACTGAGGGAGGTCATCACAAGACTTAGAAGAAATGCTAAAGAAAGCTCTTGGAGTGGAAATAAAAGGATACTAGATGATAAAATAAAATTATATGAAAGAATAAAACTTACTGGTAAAAATAAACATATAGTCAAAATCAGAATACTCTAATACTGAAATGGTAATACGCACATCACTTTTTAATAGGGTTATTTGTCTCCTTATTATTTGTTATTAGGTATACTTTTAAACTTTTTATTTTAATATTTTTGGAACACAGTAAGTATATATATTTATGGGGTACATGAGATATTTTGATATAGGCACATAATGCCTAATAATCACATAAAGGCAAATGGAGTATCCATCACCTCAAGCATTTATGCTTTGTGTTACAAAGAATCCAACTACACTCTTTTAGTTATTTTAAAATATACAATTAAATTATTTTTGACTAGTCACCCTGTTGGGTGATCAAATACTAGATCTTACTCCTTCTTTCTAGCTATCGTTTTGTACTCATTAACCATCCCCACTTCCCCGGCTCCTACTCCCCAGTTACCCTTCCCAACCTCTGGTAACTGTCATTCTACTCTCTATCTCCGTGAGCTCAATTGTTTTAATTTTTAGCTCCCAGAAATATGTGACAACATGTTAAGTTTGTCTTTCTGTGCCTCACTGACACACAAAAAAGAATGACAGAACCTCATTCTTTTTTAAGGCTGAATACTACTCCATTGCATATATGGGCCATATTTTCTTTATCCATTCTTTTGTTAATGGACACTTAGGTTGCTACCAAATCTTAGCTATTTTAACTAGTGCTGCAATAAACATGAAAGTGCATATATATCTTCAATATACTGATTTCCTTTGTTTTGGGTATATACCTAGCAGTCAGATTGCTGGACCATATGGTAGATCTGTTTTTAGTTTTCTGAAGAACCTCCAGGCTGTTCTCCATAGTACTTATACTTATTTACATTTCCGCCAACAGTGTACAAAGATTCTCTTTTCTCCATATCCTCACCACCACCCATTATTGCTTGTCTTTTGGATGTAAGTCATTTTAACGGGAGTTAGATGATATCTCATTGTAGTTTTGATTTGCATTTCTCTGATGATCAATGATGTTGAGCACTTTTTCATATACCAGTTTGCGATTTGTATGTCTTCTTGTGAGAAAAGTCTATTCAAATCTTTTCCCCATTTTTTATTTGGATTATTGGATTATTTTGTATATAGTTGTCTGAACTCCTTATATATTCTGGTTGTTAATCACTGTCAGATGGACATTTTGCAAACACTTTCTCTCATTCTGTGGGTTGTCTCTTCACTTTGTTGATGGTTTCCTTTGCTGTGCAGAAGCTTTTTAGTTTGATGTGATCCCATATGTCCATTTTTGCTTTGGTTGCTTGTGCTTATGGGGTATTAAGAAATATTTGCCCAGTCAAATGTCCTGGAAAGTTTCCTCAGTGTTTTTTTTTTCAGTAGTGTCATAGTTTGAGGTATTAGACTT
This sequence comes from Homo sapiens, assembly GCF_000001405.40. NCBI lineage: Eukaryota > Metazoa > Chordata > Mammalia > Primates > Hominidae > Homo > Homo sapiens. The sequence continues at coordinate 114,913,726 of NC_000003.12, forward strand.
AAGTCTTTAATTCATGTTGATTTCATTTTTGTATATAATGAGAGAGAAGGGTCTAGTTTCAGTCTTCTGCATGTGGGTATTCAGTTTTCCCAGCACCATTTATTGAAGAGACTGCCCTTTCCCCAATGTATGTTCTTGCCACCTGTGTTGAAAATGAGTTCACTGTAAACGTATGAATTTGCTTCTGGGTTCTCTATTCTGTTCCATTGCTATATACACTGTTGGTATGCCAGTACCATGCTCTTTTGGTTACTATAGCCCTGTAGTATAATTTGAACTCAGGTGATATTCCTAGTTTTGTTCTTTTTGCTCAGGATATCTTTGGCTATTGTGGGTCTTTTGTGGTTTCCTATAAATTTTATAATTGTGTTTTCTATTTCTGTGAAGAATGTAATTGGTATTTTGATAGAGATTACATTGAATCTGTAGACTGCCTTGGGTAGTATGGGCATTTTAACAATGTTGATCCTTCCAATTCATGAACATGGAATATCTTTCCATTTTTTTGTGTGTCCCTTTCAATATCTTGCAACAATCTTTTATAGTTTTTATTGTAGAGATCTTTCTCTTCTTCAGTTATTTCCTAGGTATTTAATTTTATCTGTAGCTATTATAAATTGAATTACTTTTTAAATTTCTTTTTCAGATTATTCACCATTGACACATAAAAATGTCACTGACTTTTGTATGTTGACTTTGTATCCTGCAAATTTACTGAATTTATTGATCAGTTCTAATAGTTTTCTGGTGAAGTCTTCAAATATAAGATCATCTCATCTCCCAACAAGGAAAATTTGACTTATTGCTTTCCAGTTTGGATGAGCATTATTTCTTTCTCTTCTCTAATTGTACTACTATGACTTCTAGTTTTATGTTGAATAACAGTGATGAAAGTGAGCATCCTTGTCATGTTCCAGATCTTAGGGTAAAGGCTTTCAGTTTTTCCCCACTCAGCATGATACTAGCTGTGGGTCTGTTGTATGTGGCTTTTATTATGTTGAGATATGTTACTTCGATATCCAGTTTTTTGAGGGTTTTTTTTTTATCATGAGGGGATACTGAATCTTAACAAATGTTTTTTTCCAGCATCAACTGAAATAATCATATGGTTCTTGTCCTTCATTCTGTTGATATGTGGTATTATATTGATTGATTTGCATGTGTTGAATAATCATTGAGGCCTGGGATAAATTCCACTTGGTCATGATGATCCTAATGTGTTGTTGAATTTGGGTTACTAGTATTTGCTTATGGATTTTTACATCAATGTTCATCAGGGATATTGGCCTGTGGTTTTCTTTGTTTTCTTTTCTTTTTTTTTTTAAATGTGTCTTTGGTTTTGGTATTAGGATGATACTGGCCTCACAGAAGATGGACACATTCCCTCCTCTTCTATTTTTCAGAATAGTTTGAGTAGAATTGGCATTAGTTCTTTAAATGTTTGGTAAAATTCAGCAGTAAAGCGATCAGGTCCCAGGGTTTCCTTTGCTGAAGGACTTTTTATTACAGCTACCATCTCATTACTTATTACTGGTCTGTTCAGGTATTGGAATTCATGGTTCAATCCTGGTAGGTTGTATATGTCTAGGAATTTACTCATTTCTTCTAGGTTTTCCAATTTATTTACATGTATTAATAGTTGCTTATAGTAGCTTCTAATGGTCTTTTGAATTTCTGTAGTATCAATTGTAAGGTAACCTTTTTCAATTTTGATTTTATTTATTTGGGTCTTCTATCTTTTTTTCTGTCAATTTTGTTTATCTTTTCAAAATGTCTGTCAATTTTGTTTATCTTTTCAAAAAACCAACTTTTCATTTCACTGATCTTTTGTATTATTTTCTTCATTTCAACTGCATTTATTTCTGCACTGATCTTTATTATTTATTTAATTCTACCGATTTTGGGTTTGGTTTACTCTTGCTTCTCTAGTTCTCTAAGATGCATTGTTGGTTTTTTTATTGAAAGTTTTTCTACTTTCTTGATGTAGGCACTTGTCACTACAAATTTCCCTCTTAGTTTTGATATGTTCTGTTTCCATTATCATTTATTTCAAAAAACTTTTAAAATTTCCTTCATAATTTCTTCATTGACCAACTGATCACTCAGGAGTACACTGTTTAATTTCCATGTGTCTGTATAGTTTCCACAATTCTTCATTATTAATTTCTAGTTTTATTCCATGGTGATCAGAGAAGATATTTGATATTATTTCAAATTTTTGAATATTTTAAAGCTTGTTTTGTAGTCTTAGGTATCCTTGAGAATGATCCATATGCTGATGACAAAAATGCGTATTTTGCAGCCGTTGGATGAAATGTTATGTAAATATGTATTAGGTTCATTCAGTCTATGGTGCAGATTAAGTCCAATGTTTCTTTGCTGATTTTCTGTATGGATGATCTGTTCATTGCTGAAAGTGGGATGTTGATGTCTTCAGCTATTACTGTACTGGGGTCTATCTCTCTGTTAAGCTCTGATAATATTTGCTTTATATATCTGGGTGCTCCAGTGTTGGGTGTATATTTATTTACAGTTGTTATATCCTCTTGCTAAACTGACCCCTTTATAATTACATAGTGACCTTCTTTATCTCTTCTTGTAGTTTTTGTCTTGAAATCTGTATTGTATGATATCAGTATATTTCAAGTATACTTCCAAATATGATTACAGTATTATAATGTTGTTTTTCTATGTACATATTACGTACATACCAGTAGTATTATGTACTATGTAATAGTAATAATATTTTTACTGTTACTGCAAGTTTTGTACCTTCAGATGATTTCTTATTGCTCATTAACATCCCTTTCTTTCTAATTGAAGTACTCCATTTAGCATTTCCTGTAGAACAGGTCTGATATTGATGAAATCCCTCAGCTTTTATTTGTCTGGGAAAGTCTTTATTTCTCCCTCATGTTTGAAGGACATTTCACCAGGTATACTATTATAGGGTAAGAGTTTATTCCTTCAGCACTTTAAATATGTCATGCTACTTTTTCCTGGGCTGTAAGGTTTCCACTGAAGAGTCTGATGCCAGATGCTCTGTTGTATGTTATTTGTTTCTTTTCTCTTTCTACTTTTAGAATCCTTTTCCTTATATTTGACCTTTTGGGAATTTGACTATTAAATGCTTTGAGATAGTCTTCTTTAGGTTAAATCTGCTTGGTGTTCTTTAACCTTCTTGTGCTTGAATAATTATATCTTTCTCTAGGCTTGTGAAGTTCTCTAATACCGTCCTCAGAACAAACTTTCTACCTCTACCTCTCTCTTTACCTCACTTTTAAGACCAATAACTGTTGCCCTGTTGAGTATCTTGTAGGCATGCTTCATTCTTTTTTATTCTGTCCTTTTGTCTCCTAAATATGTTTTCAAACAGTCCTTCTTCAAGCTCACTAATTCTTTCTTCTGTTTGATCAATTCTCCCGTTAAGAGGCTGCTGCATTCTTCAGGGTGTCAACTGCATTTTTCACCTCCAGAATTTCTGTTTGATTCTTAAAAATTGTGTCAATCTATTTGTTAAATTTGTCTGATAGGATTCTGAATTCCTTCTCTATGCTATCTTGAATTTTATTGAGTTTCCTCAATAATTCTGTCTAAAAGGTCACGTTATCTCTGTGTTTCTGAGATTGATCCTTGGTGCCTTATTTAGATTGCTTGATGAGGTCATGTCTTCCTGGATGGTCTTGATGCTTGTGGATGTCTGTTAATGTCTACACAGTGAAGAAGTAGGTATTTATTGTAGTCTTGGCAGTCTGGACTTGTTTGTACCCACCCTTCTTGGGGAAGCATTCTAGGTATTCAAAGGGACTTGTTTATTGTGACTAAATTTTTGGTCAATGCAGCTGTGTCTACATTGGGGGCACTCCAGGGTCAGTTACACTGAGGCTCTTACAGACTCATAGAATTACCATATTGGTGGTCTTGTACAAGATCTGGAAGAATTCTCTGGATTACTAGGCAGAGACTTTTG